>NC_000023.11:59364933-59477728 GCF_000001405.40 Homo sapiens
AAACTTCTGAGTGATGATTGCATTCAAGTCACACGGTTGAACCCTCCTTTTGATTGAGCAGTTTTGAAACTGTCTTTTTGTAGAATCTGTAAGTGGATACGTGGACCTCTTTGAAGATTTCTTTCGAAACGGGAATATTTCCACAGAAAAACTAAACTGAAGCATTCTCAGAAACTGCTTTGTGATGTTTGTGTTCGAGCCGCAGAGTTTAACATTGCTTTTCATAGAGCAGTTTTGAAATATTCTTTTGGCAGAATCTGCAAGTGGACATTTGGAGCGCTTTCAGGCCTGTGGTGGAAAAGGCCTGAAAGCCTTTTCCTTTATCTTCACAGAAAGACGAGAGAGAAGCATTGTCAGAAACTTCTTTGTGATGATTGCATTCAACTCACAGAGTTGAAGATTCCTTCTGAAACAGCAGTTTCGAAACACTCTTTCTGTGGGATCCGCAAGGGGATATTTGGACCTCTTTGAAGCTTTCGTTGGAAACGGGATAATCTTCACCTAAAAGCTGAACGGAAGCATTCTCAGAAACTTCTTTGGGATGTTTGCATTCACCTCACTGAGTTGAACTTTCCCTTTGATAGAGCAGCTTCGACACACTTTTTCTACAATGTGCAAGTGGATATATATCGGGCTTGGAGGACTGTGTTGGAAAAGGAAATATCTTCTCCTAAAAACGACATAGAAGCATTCTCAGAAACTGCTCTGTGATGATTGCATTCAACTCCCAGAGTTGAACATTCCTTTTGATAGAGCAGTTTGCAAACACTCTTTTTGTAGAATCTGCAAGTGGAGATTTGGACCGCTTTGAGGCCTGTGGTAGTAAAGGAAAGAACTTCATATAAAAACCAGACGGTAGCACTCTCAGAAAATTCTTTGTGACGATGGAGTTTAACTCAGAGAGCTGAACATTCGTTATGATGGAGCAGTTTCCAAACACACGTTTTGTAGAATCTGCAAGGGGATATTTGGACCTCTCTGAGGATTTCGTTGGAAACGGGATCAACTTCCCATAACTGAACGGAAGCAAACTCAGAACATTCTTTGTGATGTTTGTATTCAACTCACAGAGTTGAACCTTCCTTTGATAGTTGAGGTTTGCAACACCCTTGTAGTAGAATCTGCAAGTGTATATTTTGACCACTTTGTAGCCTTCGTTTGAAACGTCTATATCTTCACCTCAAACCTAGACAGAAGCATTCTCAGAAAGTTTTCTGCGATGACTGCATTCAACTCACAGAGTTGAACAATCCTTTTGATGGAGCAGTTTTGAAACCCTCTTTCTTTGGAATCTGCAAGGGGATATGTGGACCTCTTTGAAGATTTCACTGGAAACGGGATCACCTTCACATAAGAACTAAACAGAAGCATTCTCGGAAACTACTTTGTGATGTTTGTATTCAACTCCCAGAGTTGAACATTCCTTTTGAAAGAGCAGCTATGAAACACTCTTTTTCGAGAATCTGCAAGTGGACGTTTGGAGGGCTTTGAGGCCTGTGGTGGAAAAGGAAATATCTTCACATAAAAACTAGATAGAAGCATTCTCAGAAACGACTTTGTGAGGATGGCATTCAACTCATGGAGTTGAACAATCCTATTGATAGAGCAGATTGGAATCACTCTTTTTGTAGAATCTGCAAATGGAGATTTGGACTGCTTTGAGGCCTACGGTAGTATAGGAAGGAACTTCATATAAAAGGCAAACGGAAGCATTCTCAGAATATTCTTTGTGATGATGGAGTTTCACTCACAGAGCTGAACATGCCTTTTCATGGAGCAGTTTCCAAATACACTTTTGGTAGAATCTGCAGGTGGATATTTGGAGCTCTCTGAGGATTTCGTTGGAAACGGGAATAATTTCCCATAACTAAACACAAACACGCTGAGAAAGTTCTTCATGATGAATGCATTGAACTCGCAGAGATGAACCTGCCTTTGAGAGTTCAGGTTCGAAACACTCTTTCTTTAGAATCTGCAAGTGGATATTTGGACCACTGGGTGGCCTTCGTTCGAAACGGCTATATGTTCACGTAAAAACTAAACAGAAGCGTTCTCAGAAACTTCTGAGTGATGATTGCATTCAAGTCACACAGTTGAACCCTCCTTTTGATGGAGCAGTTTTGAAACTGTCTTTTTGTAGAATCTGTAAGTGGATACGTGGACCTCTTTGAAGATTTCTTTCGAAACGGGAATATTTCCACAGAAAAACTAAACTGAAGCATTCTCAGAAACCGCTTTGTGATGTTTGTGTTCGAGCCACAGAGTTTAACATTGCTTTTCATAGAGCAGTTTTGAAATATTCTTTTGGCAGAATCTGCAAGTGGACATTTGGAGCGCTTTCAGGCCTGTGGTGGAAAAGGCCTGAAAGCCTTTTCCTTTATCTTCACAGAAAGACGAGAGAGAAGCATTGTCAGAAACTTCTTTGTGATGATTGCATTCAACTCACAGAGTTGAAGATTCCTTTTGAAACAGCAGTTTCGAAACACTCTTTCTGTGGGATCCGCAAGGGGATATTTGGACCTCTTTGAAGGTTTCGTTGGAAACGGGATAATCTTCACCTAAAAGCTAAACGGAAGCATTCTCAGAAACTTCTTTGGGATGTTTGCATTCACCTCACAGAGTTGAACTTTCCCTTTGATAGCGCAGCTTTGACACACTTTTTCTACAATGTGCAAGTGGCTATTTAGCGGGCTTGGAGGACTGTGTTGGAAAAGGAAATATCTTCTCCTAAAAACGACATAGAAGCATTCTCAGAAACTGCTCTGTGATGATTGCATTCAACTCCCAGAGTTGAACATTCCTTTTGATAGAGCAGTTTGCAAACACTCTTTTTGTAGAATCTGCAAGTGGAGATTTGGACCGCTTTGAGGCCTGTGGTAGTGAAGGAAAGAACTTCATATAAAAACCAGACGGTAGCACTCTCAGAAAATTCTTTGTGACGATGGAGTTTAACTCAGAGCAGCTGAACATTCGTTATGATGGAGCAGTTTCCAAACACACGTTTTGTAGAATCTGCAAGGGGATATTTGGACCTCTCTGAGGATTTCGTTGGAAACGGGATCAACTTCCCATAACTGAACGGAAGCAAACTCAGAACATTCTTTGTGATGTTTGTATTCAACTCACAGAGTTGAACCTTCCTTTGATAGTTCAGGTTTGCAACACCCTTGTAGTAGAATCTGCAAGTGTATATTTTGACCACTTTGTAGCCTTCGTTTGAAAGGTCTATATCTTCACATCAAACCTAGACAGAAGCATTCTCAGAAAGTTTTCTGCGATGACTGCATTCAACTCACAGAGTTGAACAATCCTTCTGATGGAGCAGTTTTGAAACCCTCTTTCTTTGGAATCTGCAAGGGGATATGTGGACCTCTTTGAAGATTTCACTGGAAACGGGATCATCTTCACATAAAAACTAAACAGAAGCATTCTCGGAAACTACTTTGTGATGTTTGCATTCAACTCCCAGAGTTGAACTTTCCTTTTGAAAGAGCAGCTATGAAACACTCTTTTTCGAGAATCTGCAAGTGGACGTTTGGAGGGCTTTGAGGCCTGTGGTGGAAAAGGAAATATCTTCACACAAAAACCAGATAGAAGCATTCTCAGAAACTGCTTTGTGAGGATGGCATTCAAATCATGGAGTTGAACAATCCTATTGATAGAGCAGATTGGAATCACTCTTTTTATAGAATCTGCAAATGGAGATTTGGACTGCTTTGAGGCCTACGGTAGTACAGGAAGGAAGTTCATATAAAAGGCAAACGGAAGCATTCTCAGAATATTCTTTGTGATGATGGAGTTTCACTCACAGAGCTGAACATGCCTTTTGATGGAGCAGTTTCCAAATACACTTTTGGTAGAATCTGCAGGTGGATATTTGGAGCTCTCAGAGGATTTCGTTGGAAACGGGAATAATTTCCCATAACTAAACACAAACACTCTGAGAAAGTTCTTCATGATGAATGCATTTAACTCGCAGAGATGAACCTGCCTTTGAGAGTTCAGGTTCGAAACACTCTTTCTGTATAATCTGCAAGTGGATATTTGGACCACTGGGTGGCCTTCGTTCGAAACGGGTATATGTTCACGTAAAAACTAAAGAGAAGCATTCTCAGAAACTTCTGAGTGATGATTGCATTCAAGTCACACGGTTGAACCCTCCTTTTGATGGAGCAGTTTTGAAACTGTCTTTTTGTAGAATCTGTAAGTGGATACGTGGACCTCTTTGAAGATTTCTTTGGAAACGGGAATATTTCCACAGAAAAACTAAACTGAAGCATTCTCAGAAACCGCTTTGTGATGTTTGTGTTCGAGCCGCAGAGTTTAACATTGCTTTTCATAGAGCAGTTTTGAAATATTCTTTTCGCAGAATCTGCAAGTGGACATTTGGAGCGCTTTCAGGCCTGTGGTGGAAAAGGCCTGAAAGCCTTTTCCTTTATCTTCACAGAAAGACGAGAGAGAAGCATTGTCAGAAACTTCTTTGTGATGATTGCATTCAACTCACAGAGTTGAAGATTCCTTTTGAAACAGCAGTTTCGAAACACTCTTTCTGTGGGATCCGCAAGGGGATATTTGGACCTCTTTGAAGGTTTCGTTGGAAACGGGATAATCTTCACCTAAAAGCTAAACGGAAGCATTCTCAGAAACTTCTTTGGGATGTTTGCATTCACCTCACAGAGTTGAACTTTCCCTTTGATAGCGCAGCTTTGACACACTTTTTCTACAATGTGCAAGTGGCTATTTAGCGGGCTTGGAGGACTGTGTTGGAAAAGGAAATATCTTCTCCTAAAAACGACATAGAAGCATTCTCAGAAACTGCTCTGTGATGATTGCATTCAACTCCCAGAGTTGAACATTCCTTTTGATAGAGCAGTTTGCAAACACTCTTTTTGTAGAATCTGCAAGTGGAGATTTGGACCGCTTTGAGGCCTGTGGTAGTGAAGGAAAGAACTTCATATAAAAACCAGACGGTAGCACTCTCAGAAAATTCTTTGTGACGATGGAGTTTAACTCAGGGAGCTCAACATTCGTTATGATGGAGCAGTTTCCAAACACACGTTTTGTAGAATCTGCAAGGGGATATTTGGACCTCTCTGAGGATTTCGTTGGAAACGGGATCAACTTCCCATAACTGAACGGAAGCAAACTCAGAACATTCTTTGTGATGTTTGTATTCAACTCACAGAGTTGAACCTTCCTTTGATAGTTCAGGTTTGCAACACCCTTGTAGTAGAATCTGCAAGTGTATATTTTGACCACTTTGTAGCCTTCGTTTGAAACATGCTATATCTTCACATCAAACCTAGACAGAAGCATTCTCAGAAAGTTTTCTGCGATGACTGCATTCAACTCACAGAGTTGAACAATCCTTTTGATGGAGCAGTTTTGAAACCCTCTTTCTTTGGAATCTGCAAGGGGATATGTGGACCTCTTTGAAGATTTCACTGGAAACGGGATCATCTTCACATAAGAACTAAACAGAAGCATTCTCGGAAACTACTTTGTGATGTTTGTATTCAACTCCCAGAGTTGAACTTTCCTTTTGAAAGAGCAGCTATGAAACACACTTTTTCGAGAATCTGCAAGTGGACGTTTGGAGGGCTTTGAGGCCTGTGGTGGAAAAGGAAATATCTTCACATAAAAACTAGATAGAAGCATTCTCAGAAACGACTTTGTGAGGATGGCATTCAACTCATGGAGATGAACAACCCTATTGATAGAACAGATTGGAATCACTCTTTTTGTAGAATCTGCAAATGGAGATTTGGACTGCTTTGAGGTCTACGGTAGTATAGGAAGGAACTTCATATAAAAGGCAAATGGAAGCATTCTCAGAATATTCTTTGTGATGATGGAGTTTCACTCACAGAGCTGAACATGCCTTTTGATGGAGCAGTTTCCAAATAAACTTTTGGTAGAATCTGCAGGTGGATATTTGGACCTCTCTGAGGATATCGTTGGAAACGGGAATAATTTCCCATAACTAAACACAAACACACTGAGAAAGTTCTTCATGATGAATGCATTTAACTCGCAGAGATGAACCTGCCTTTGAGAGTTCAGGTTCGAAACACTCTTTCTGTAGAATCTCCAAGTGGATATTTGGACCACTGGCTGGCCTTCGTTCGAAAAGGGTATATGTTCACGTAAAAACTAAAGAGAAGCATTCTCAGAAACTTCTGAGTGATGATTGCATTCAAGTCACACAGTTGAACCCTCCTTTTGATTGAGCAGTTTTGAAACTGTCTTTTTGTAGAATCTGTAAGTGGATACGTGGACCTCTTTGAAGATTTCTTTGGAAACGGGAATATTTCCACAGAAAAACTAAACTGAAGCATTCTCAGAAACTGCTTTGTGATGTTTGTGTTCGAGCCACAGAGTTTAACATTGCTTTTCATAGAGCAGTTTTGAAATATTCTTTTGGCAGAATCTGCAAGTGGACATTTGGAGCGCTTTCAGGCCTGTGGTGGAAAAGGCCTGAAAGCCTTTTCCTTTATCTTCACAGAAAGACGAGAGAGAAGCATTGTCAGAAACTTCTTTGTGATGATTGCATTCAACTCACAGAGTTGAAGATTCCTTTTGAAACAGCAGTTTCGAAACACTCTTTCTGTGGGATCCGCAAGGGGATATTTGGACCTCTTTGAAGATTTCGTTGGAAACGGGATAATCTTCACCTAAAAGCTAAACGGAAGCATTCTCAGAAACTTCTTTGGGATGTTTGCATTCACCTCACAGAGTTGAACTTTCCCTTTGATAGCGCAGCTTCGACACACTTTTTCTACAATGTGCAAGTGGATATTTAGCGGGCTTGGAGGACTGTGTTGGAAAAGGAAATATCTTCTCCTAAAAACGACATAGAAGCATTCTCAGAAACTGCTCTGTGATGATTGCATTCAACTCCCATAGTTGAACATTCCTTTTGATAGAGCAGTTTGCAAACACTCTTTTTGTAGAATCTGCAAGTGGAGATTTGGACCGCTTTGAGGCCTGTGGTAGTAAAGGAAAGAACTTCATATAAAAACTAGACGGTAGCACTCTCAGTAAAATTCTTTGTGACGATAGAGTTTAACTCAGAGAGCTGAACATTCGTTATGATGGAGCAGTTTCCAAACACACATTTTGTAGAATCTGCAAAGGGATATTTGGACCTCTCTGAGGATTTCGTTGGAAATGGGATCAACTTCCCATAACTGAACGGAAGCAAACTCAGAACATTCTTTGTGATGTTTGTATTCAACTCACAGAGTTGAACCTTCCTTTGATAGTTGAGGTTTGCATCACCCTTGTAGTAGAATCTGCAAGTGTATATTTTGACCACTTTGTAGCCTTCGTTTGAAACGTCTATATCTTCACATCAAACCTAAACAGAAGCATTCTCAGAAAGTTTTCTGCGATGACTGCATTCAACTCACAGAGTTGAACAATCCTTTTGATGGAGCAGTTTTGAAACCCTCTTTCTTTGGAATCTGCAAGGGGATATGTGGACCTCTTTCAAGATTTCACTGGAAACGGGATCATCTTCACATAAGAACTAAACAGAAGCATTCTCGGAAACTACTTTGTGATGTTTGTATTCAACTCCCAGAGTTGAACTTTCCTTTTGAAAGAGCAGCTATGAAACACTCTTTTTCGAGAATCTGCAAGTGGACGTTTGGAGGGCTTTGAGGCCTGTGGTGGAAAAGGAAATATCTTCACATAAAAACTACATAGAAGCATTCTCAGAAACGACTTTGTGAGGATGGCATTCAACTCATGGAGTTGAACAGTCCTATTGATAGAGCAGATTGGAATCACTCTTTTTGTAGAATCTGCAAATGGAGATTTGGACTGCTTTGAGGCCTACGGTAGTATAGGAAGGAACTTCATATAAAAGGCAAACGGAAGCATTCTCAGAATATTCTTTGTGATGATGGAGTTTCACTCACAGAGCTGAACATGCCTTTTGATGGAGCAGTTTCCAAATACACTTTTGGTAGAATCTGCAGGTGGATATTTGGAGCTCTCTGAGGATTTCGTTGGAAACGGGAATAATTTCCCATAACTAAACACAAACACTCTGAGAAAGTTCTTCATGATGAATGTATTTAACTCGCAGAGATGAACCTGCCTTTGAGAGTTCAGGTTCGAAACACTCTTTCTGTAGAATCTGCAAGTGGATATTTGGACCACTGGCTGGCCTTCGTTCGAAACGGGTATATGTTCACGTAAAAACTAAAGAGAAGCATTCTCAGAAACTTCTGAGTGATGATTGCATTCAAGTCACACAGTTGAACCCTCCTTTTGATGGAGCAGTTTTGAAACTGTCTTTTTGTAGAATCTGTAAGTGGATACGTGGACCTCTTTGAAGATTTCTTTGGAAACGGGAATATTTCCACAGAAAAACTAAACTGAAACATTCTCAGAAACCGCTTTGTGATGTTTGTGTTCCAGCCACAGAGTTTAACATTGCTTTTCATAGAGCAGTTTTGAAATATTCTTTTGGCAGAATCTGCAAGTGGACATTTGGAGCGCTTTCAGGCCTGTGGTGGAAAAGGCCTGAAAGCCTTTTCCTTTATCTTCACAGAAAGAGAAGCATTGTCAGAAACTTCTTTGTGATGATTGCATTCAACTCACAGAGTTGAAGATTCCTTTTGAAACAGCAGTTTCGAAACACTCTTTCTGTGGGATCCGCAAGGGGATATTTGGACCTCTTTGAAGGTTTCGTTGGAAACGGGATAATCTTCACCTAAAAGCTAAACGGAAGCATTCTCAGAAACTTCTTTGGGATGTTTGCATTCACCTCACAGAGTTGAACTTTCCCTTTGATAGCGCAGCTTTGACACACTTTTTCTACAATGTGCAAGTGGCTATTTAGCGGGCTTGGAGGACTGTGTTGGAAAAGGAAATATCTTCTCCTAAAAACGACATAGAAGCATTCTCAGAAACTGCTCTGTGATGATTGCATTCAACTCCCAGAGTTGAACATTCCTTTTGATAGAGCAGTTTGCAAACACTCTTTTTGTAGAATCTGCAAGTGGAGATTTGGACCGCTTTGAGGCCTGTGGTAGTGAAGGAAAGAACTTCATATAAAAACCAGACGGTAGCACTCTCAGAAAATTCTTTGTGACGATGGAGTTTAACTCAGGGAGCTGAACATTCGTTATGATGGAGCAGTTTCCAAACACACGTTTTGTAGAATCTGCGAGGGGATATTTGGACCTCTCTGAGGATTTCGTTGGAAACGGGATCAACTTCCCATAACTGAACGGAAGCAAACTCAGAACATTCTCTGTGATGTTTGTATTCAACTCACAGAGTTGAACCTTCCTTTGATAGTTCAGGTTTGCAACACCCTTGTAGTAGAATCTGCAAGTGTATATTTTGACCACTTTGTAGCCTTCGTTTGAAACGTCTATATCTTCACATCAAACCTAGACAGAAGCATTCTCAGAAAGTTTTCTGCGATGACTGCATTCAACTCACAGAGTTGAACAATCCTTCTGATGGAGCAGTTTTGAAACCCTCTTTCTTTGGAATCTGCAAGGGGATATGTGGACCTCTTTGAAGATTTCACTGGAAACGGGATCGATCATCTTCACATAAAAACTAAACAGAAGCATTCTCGGAAACTACTTTGTGATGTTTGTATTCAACTCCCAGAGTTGAACTTTCCTTTTGAAAGAGCAGCTATGAAACACTCTTTTTCGAGAATCTGCAAGTGGACGTTTGGAGGGCTTTGAGGCCTGTGGTGGAAAAGGAAATATCTTCACACAAAAACCAGATAGAAGCATTCTCAGAAACTACTTTGTGAGGATGGCATTCAACTCATGGAGTTGAACAATCCTATTGATAGAGCAGATTGGAATCACTCTTTTTATAGAATCTGCAAATGGAGATTTGGACTGCTTTGAGGCCTACGGTAGTACAGGAAGGAACTTCATATAAAAGGCAAACGGAAGCATTCTCAGAATATTCTTTGTGATGATGGAGTTTCACTCACAGAGCTGAACATGCCTTTTGATGGAGCAGTTTCCAAATACACTTTTGGTAGAATCTGCAGGTGGATATTTGGAGCTCTCAGAGGATTTCGTTGGAAACGGGAATAATTTCCCATAACTAAACACAAACACTCTGAGAAAGTTCTTCATGATGAATGCATTTAACTCGCAGAGATGAACCTGCCTTTGAGAGTTCAGGTTCGAAACACTCTTTCTGTATAATCTGCAAGTGGATATTTGGACCACTGGGTGGCCTTCGTTCGAAACGGGTATATGCTCACGTAAAAACTAAAGAGAAGCATTCTCAGAAACTTCTGAGTGATGATTGCATTCAAGTCACACGGTTGAACCCTCCTTTTGATGGAGCAGTTTTGAAACTGTCTTTTTGTAGAATCTGTAAGTGGATACGTGGACCTCTTTGAAGATTTCTTTGGAAACGGGAATATTTCCACAGAAAAACTAAACTGAAGCATTCTCAGAAACCGCTTTGTGATGTTTGTGTTCGAGCCACAGAGTTTAACATTGCTTTTCATAGAGCAGTTTTGAAATATTCTTTTGGCAGAATCTGCAAGTGGACATTTGGAGCGCTTTCAGGCCTGTGGTGGAAAAGGCCTGAAAGCCTTTTCCTTTATCTTCACAGAAAGACGAGAGAGAAGCATTGTCAGAAACTTCTTTGTGATGATTGCATTCAACTCACAGAGTTGAAGATTCCTTTTGAAACAGCAGTTTCGAAACACTCTTTCTGTGGGATCCGCAAGGGGATATTTGGACCTCTTTGAAGATTTCGTTGGAAACGGGATAATCTTCACCTAAAAGCTAAACGGAAGCATTCTCAGAAACTTCTTTGGGATGTTTGCATTCACCTCACAGAGTTGAACTTTCCCTTTGATAGCGCAGCTTCGACACACTTTTTCTACAATGTGCAAGTGGATATTTAGCGGGCTTGGAGGACTGTGTTGGAAAAGGAAATATCTTCTCCTAAAAACGACATAGAAGCATTCTCAGAAACTGCTCTGTGATGATTGCATTCAACTCCCAGAGTTGAACATTCCTTTTGATAGAGCAGTTTGCAAACACTTTTTTGTAGAATCTGCAAGTGGAGATTTGGACCGCTTTGAGGCCTGTGGTAGTAAAGGAAAGAACTTCATATAAAAACTAGACGGTAGCACCCTCAGAAAATTCTTTGTGACGATGGAGTTTAACTCAGAGAGCTGAACATTCGTTATGATGGAGCAGTTTCCAAACACACGTTTTGTAGAATCTGCAAGGGGATATTTGGACCTCTCTGAGGATTTCGTTGGAAACGGGATCAACTTCCCATAACTGAACGGAAGCAAACTCAGAACATTCTTTGTGATGTTTGTATTCAACTCACAGAGTTGAACCTTCCTTTGATAGTTCAGGTTTGCATCACCCTTGTAGTAGAATCTGCAAGTGTATATTTTGACCACTTTGTAGCCTTCGTTTGAAACGTCTATATCTTCACATCAAACCTAGACAGAAGCATTCTCAGAAAGTTTTCTGCGATGACTGCATTCAACTCACAGAGTTGAACAATCCTTTTGATGGAGCAGTTTTGAACCCCTCTTTCTTTGGAATCTGCAAGGGGATATGTGGACCTCTTTGAAGGTTTCACTGGAAACGGGATCATCTTCACATAAGAACTAAACAGAAGCATTCTCGGAAACTACTTTGTGATGTTTGTATTCAACTCCCAGAGTTGAACTTTCCTTTTGAAAGAGCAGCTATGAAACACTCTTTTTCGAGAATCTGCAAGTGGACGTTTGGAAGGCTTTGAGGCCTGTGGTGGAAAAGGAAATATCTTCACATAAAAACTAGATAGAAGCATTCTCAGAAACGACTTTGTGAGGATGGCATTCAACTCATGGAGTTGAACAATCCTATTGATAGAGCAGATTGGAATCACTCTTTTTGTAGAATCTGCAAATGGAGATTTGGACTGCTTTGAGGCCTACGGTCGTATAGGAAGGAACTTCATATAAAAGGCAAACGGAAGCATTCTCAGAATATTCTTTGTGATGATGGAGTTTCACTCACAGAGCTGAACATGCCTTTTGATGGAGCAGTTTCCAAATACACTTTTGGTAGAATCTGCAGGTGGATATTTGGAGCTCTCTGAGGATTTCGTTGGAAACGGGAATAATTTCCCATAACTAAACACAAACACTCTGAGAAAGTTCTTCATGATGAATGCATTTAACTTGCAGAGATGAACTTGCCTTTGAGAGTTCAGGTTCGAAACACTCTTTCTGTATAATCTGCAAGTGGATATTTGGACCACTGGGTGGCCTTCGTTCGAAACGGGTATATGTTCACGTAAAAACTAAAGAGAAGCATTCTCAGAAACTTCTGAGTGATGATTGCATTCAAGTCACACAGTTGAACCCTCCTTTTGATGGAGCAGTTTTGAAACTGTCTTTTTGTAGAATCTGTAAGTGGATACGTGGACCTCTTTGAAGATTTCCTTTGGAAACGGGAATATTTCCACAGAAAAACTAAACTGAAGCATTCTCAGAAACTGCTTTGTGATGTTTGTGTTCGAGCCACAGAGTTTAACATTGCTTTTCATAGAGCAGTTTTGAAATATTCTTTTGGCAGAATCTACAAGTGGACATTTGGAGCGCTTTCAGGCCTGTGGTGGAAAAGGCCTGAAAGCCTTTTCCTTTATCTTCACAGAAAGACGAGAGAGAAGCATTGTCAGAAACTTCTTTGTGATGATTGCATTCAACTCACAGAGTTGAAGATTCCTTTTGAAACAGCAGTTTCGAAACACTCTTTCTGTGGGATCCGCAAGGGGATATTTGGACCTCTTTGAAGGTTTCGTTGGAAACGGGATAATCTTCACCTAAAAGCTAAACGGAAACATTCTCAGAAACTTCTTTGGGATGTTTGCATTCACCTCACAGAGTTGAACTTTCCCTTTGATAGCGCAGCTTTGACACACTTTTTCTACAATGTGCAAGTGGCTATTTAGCGGGCTTGGAGGACTGTGTTGGAAAACGAAATATCTTCTCCTAAAAACGACATAGAAGCATTCTCAGAAACTGCTCTGTGATGATTGCATTCAACTCCCAGAGTTGAACATTCCTTTTGATAGAGCAGTTTGCAAACACTCTTTTTGTAGAATCTGCAAGTGGAGATTTGGACCGCTTTGAGGCCTGTGGTAGTGAAGGAAAGAACTTCATATAAAAACCAGACGGTAGCACTCTCAGAAAATTCTTTGTGACGATGGAGTTTAACTCAGGGAGCTGAACATTCGTTATGATGGAGCAGTTTCCAAACACACGTTTTGTAGAATCTGCGAGGGGATATTTGGACCTCTCTGAGGATTTCGTTGGAAACGGGATCAACTTCCCATAACTGAACGGAAGCAAACTCAGAACATTCTTTGTGATGTTTGTATTCAATTCACAGAGTTGAACCTTCCTTTGATAGTTCAGGTTTGCAACACCCTTGTAGTAGAATCTGCAAGTGTATATTTTGACCACTTTGTAGCCTTCGTTTGAAACGTCTATATCTTCACATCAAACCTAGACAGAAGCATTCTCAGAAAGTTTTCTGCGATGACTGCATTCAACTCACAGAGTTGAACAATCCTTCTGATGGAGCAGTTTTTAAACCCTCTTTCTTTGGAATCTGCAAGGGGATATGTGGACCTCTTTGAAGATTTCACTGGAAACGGGATCATCTTCACATAAAAACTAAACAGAAGCATTCTCGGAAACTATTTTGTGATGTTTGTATTCAACTCCCAGAGTTGAACTTTCCTTTTGAAAGAGCAGCTATGAAACACTCTTTTTCGAGAATCTGCAAGTGGACGTTTGGAGGGCTTTGAGGCCTGTGGTGGAAAAGGAAATATCTTCACACAAAAACCAGATAGAAGCATTCTCAGAAACGACTTTGTGAGGATGGCATTCAACTCATGGAGTTGAACAATCCTATTGATAGAGCAGATTGGAATCACTCTTTTTGTAGAATCTGCAAATGGAGATTTGGACTGCTTTGAGGCCTACGGTAGTACAGGAAGGAACTTCATATAAAAGGCAAACGGAAGCATTCTCAGAATATTCTTTGTGATGATGGAGCTTCACTGACAGAGCTGAACATGCCTTTTGATGGAGCAGTTTCCAAATACACTTTTGGTAGAATCTGCAGGTGGATATTTGGAGCTCTCTGAGGATTTCGTTGGAAACGGGAATAATTTCCCATAACTAAACACAAACACTCTGAGAAAGTTCTTCATGATGAATGCATTTAACTCGCAGAGATGAACCTGCCTTTGAGAGTTCAGGTTCGAAACACTCTTTCTGTATAATCTGCAAGTGGATATTTGGACCACTGGGTGGCCTTCGTTCGAAACGGGTATATGTTCACGTAAAAACTAAAGAGAAGCATTCTCAGAAACTTCTGAGTGATGATTGCATTCAAGTCACACAGTTGAACCCTCCTTTTGATGGAGCAGTTTTGAAACTGTCTTTTTGTAGAATCTGTAAGTGGATACGTGGACCTCTTTGAAGATTTCTTTGGAAACGGGAATATTTCCACAGAAAAACTAAACTGAAACATTCTCAGAAACCGCTTTGTGATGTTTGTGTTCCAGCCACAGAGTTTAACATTGCTTTTCATAGAGCAGTTTTGAAATATTCTTTTGGCAGAATCTGCAAGTGGACATTTGGAGCGCTTTCAGGCCTGTGGTGGAAAAGGCCTGAAAGCCTTTTCCTTTATCTTCACAGAAAGACGAGAGAGAAGCATTGTCAGAAACTTCTTTGTGATGATTGCATTCAACTCACAGAGTTGAAGATTCCTTTTGAAACAGCAGTTTCGAAACACTCTTTCTGTGGGATCCGCAAGGGGATATTTGGACCTCTTTGAAGGTTTCGTTGGAAACGGGATAATCTTCACCTAAAAGCTAAACGGAAGCATTCTCAGAAACTTCTTTGGGATGTTTGCATTCACCTCACAGAGTTGAACTTTCCCTTTGATAGCGCAGCTTTGACACACTTTTTCTACAATGTGCAAGTGGCTATTTAGCGGGCTTGGAGGACTGTGTTGGAAAAGGAAATATCTTCTCCTAAAAACGACATAGAAGCATTCTCAGAAACTGCTCTGTGATGATTGCATTCAACTCCCAGAGTTGAACATTCCTTTTGATAGAGCAGTTTGCAAACACTCTTTTTGTAGAATCTGCAAGTGGGGATTTGGACCGCTTTGAGGCCTGTGGTAGTGAAGGAAAGAACTTCATATAAAAACCAGACGGTAGCACTCTCAGAAAATTCTTTGTGACGATGGAGTTTAACTCAGGGAGCTGAACATTCGTTATGATGGAGCAGTTTCCAAACAAACGTTTTGTAGAATCTGCGAGGGGATATTTGGACCTCTCTGAGGATTTCGTTGGAAACGGGATCAACTTCCCATAACTGAACGGAAGCAAACTCAGAACATTCTTTGTGATGTTTGTATTCAACTCACAGAGTTGAACCATCCTTTGATACTTCAGGTTTCCAACACCCTTGTAGTAGAATCTGCAAGTGTATATTTTGACCACGTTGTAGCCTTCGTTTGAAACGTCTATATCTTCACATCAAACCTAGACAGAAGCATTCTCAGAAAGTTTTCTGCGATGACTGCATTCAACTCACAGAGTTGAACAATCCTATTGATGGAGCAGTTTTGAAACCCTCTTTCTTTGGAATCTGCAAGGGGATATGTGGACCTCTTTGAAGATTTCACTGGAAACGGGATCATCTTCACATAAAAACTAAACAGAAGCATTCTCGGAAACTACTTTGTGATGTTTGTATTCAACTCCCAGAGTTGAACTTTCCTTTTGAAAGAGCAGCTATGAAACACTCTTTTTCGAGAATCTGCAAGTGGACGTTTGGAGGGCTTTGAGGCCTGTGGTGGAAAAGGAAATATCTTCACATAAAAACTAGATAGAAGCATTCTCAGAAACGACTTTGTGAGGATGGCATTCAACTCATGGAGTTGAACAATCCTATTGATAGAGCAGATTGGAATCACTCTTTTTGTAGAATCTGCAAATGGAGATTTGCACTGCTTTGAGGCCTACGGTCGTATAGGAAGGAACTTCATATAAAAGGCAAACGGAAGCATTCTCAGAATATTCTTTGTGATGATGGAGTTTCACTCACAGAGCTGAACATGCCTGTTGATGGAGCAGTTTCCAAATACACTTTTGGTAGAATCTGCAGGTGGACATTTGGACCTCTCTGAGGATTTCGTTGGGAACGGGAATAATTTCCCATAACTAAACACAAACACGCTGAGAAAGTTCTTCATGATGAATGCATTTAACTCGCAGAGATGAACCTGCCTTTGAGAGTTCAGGTTCGAAACACTCTTTCTGTAGAATCTGCAAGTGGGTATTTGGACCACTGGGTGGCCTTCGTTCGAAACGGGTATATGTTCACGTAAAAACTAAAGAGAAGCGTTCTCAGAAACTTCTGAGTGATGATTGCATTCAAGTCACACAGTTGAACCCTCCTTTTGATTGAGCAGTTTTGAAACTGTCTTTTTGTAGAATCTGTAAGTGGATGCGTGGACCTCTTTGAAGATTTCTTTGGAAACGGGAATATTTCCACAGAAAAACTAAACTGAAGCATTCTCTGAAACTGCTTTGTGATGTTTGTGTTCGAGCCGCAGAGTTTAACATTGCTTTTCATAGAGCAGTTTTGAAATATTCTTTTGGAAGAATCTGCAAGTGGACATTTGGAGCGCTTTCAGGCCTGTGGGTGGAAAAGGCCTGAAAGCCTTTTCCTTTATCTTCACAGAAAGACGAGAGAGAAAGCATTGTCAGAAACTTCTTTGTGATGATTGCATTCAACCCACAGAGTTGAAGATTCCTTTTGAAACAGCAGTTTCGAAACACTCTTTCTGTGGGATCCGCAAGGGGATATTTGGACCTCTTTGAAGATTTCGTTGGAAACGGGATAATCTTCACCTAAAAGCTAAACGGAAGCATTCTCAGAAACTTCTTTGGGATGTTTGCATTCACCTCACAGAGTTGAACTTTCCCTTTGATAGCGCAGCTTCGACACACTTTTTCTACAATGTGCAAGTGGCTATTTAGCGGGCTTGGAGGACTGTGTTGGAAAAGGAAATATCTTCTCCTAAAAACGACATAGAAGCATTCTCAGAAACTGCTCTGTGATGATTGCATTCAACTCCCAGAGTTGAACATTCCTTTTGATAGAGCAGTTTGCAAACACTCTTTTTGTAGAATCTGCAAGTGGAGATTTGGACCGCTTTGAGGCCTGTGGTAGTGAAGGAAAGAACTTCATATAAAAACCAGACGGTAGCACTCTCAGAAAATTCTTTGTGACGATGGAGTTTAACTCAGGGAGCTGAACATTCGTTATGATGGAGCAGTTTCCAAACACACGTTTTGTAGAATCTGTGAGGGGATATTTGGACCTCTCTGAGGATTTCGTTGGAAACGGGATCAACTTCCCATAACTGAACGGAAGCAAACTCAGAACATTCTTTGTGATGTTTGTATTCAACTCACAGAGTTGAACCTTCCTTTGATAGTTCAGGTTTGCAACACCCTTGTAGTAGAATCTGCAAGTGTATATTTTGACCACTTTGTAGCCTTCGTTTGAAACGTCTATATCTTCACATCAAACCTAGACAGAAGCATTCTTAGAAAGTTTTCTGCGATGACTGCATTCAACTCACAGAGTTGAACAATCCTTCTGATGGAGCAGTTTTGAAACCCTCTTTCTTTGGAATCTGCAAGGGAATATGTGGACCTCTTTGAAGATTTCACTGGAAACGGGATCATCTTCACATAAAAACTAAATATAAGCATTCTCGGAAACTACTTTGGGATGTTTGTATTCAACTCCCAGAGTTGAACTTTCCTTTTGGAAGAGCAGCTATGAAACACTCTTTTTCGAGAATCTGCAAGTGGACGTTTGGAGGGCTTTGAGGCCTGTGGTGGAAAAGGAAATATCTTCACATAAAAACTAGATAGAAGCATTCTCACAAACGACATTGTGAGGATGGAATTCAACTCATGGAGTTGAACAATCCTATTGATAGAGCAGATTGGAATCACTCTTTTTGTAGAATCTGCAAATGGAGATTTGGACTGCTTTGAGGCCTACGGTAGTATAGGAAGGAACTTCATATAAAAGGCAAACGGAAGCATTCTCAGAATATCTCCTTTGTGATGATGGAGTTTCACTCACAGAGCTGAACATGCCTTTTGATGGAGCAGTTTCCAAATACACTTTTGGTAGAATCTGCAGGTGGATATTTGGACCTCTCTGAGGATTTCGTTGGAAACGGGAATAATTTCCCATAACTAAACACAAACACTCTGAGAAAGTTCTTCATGATGAATGCATTTAACTCGCAGAGATGAACCTGCCTTTGAGAGTTCAGGTTCGAAACACTCTTTCTGTATAATCTGCAAGTGGATATTTGGACCACTGGGTGGCCTTCGTTCGAAACGGGTATATGTTCACGTAAAAACTAAAGAGAAGCATTCTCAGAAACTTCTGAGTGATGATTGCATTCAAGTCACACAGTTGAACCCTCCTTTTGATGGAGCAGTTTTGAAACTGTCTTTTTGTAGAATCTGTAAGTGGATACGTGGACCTCTTTGAAGATTTCTTTGGAAACGGGAATATTTCCACAGAAAAACTAAACTGAAGCATTCTCAGAAACTGCTTTGTGATGTTTGTGTTCCAGCCACAGAGTTTAACATTGCTTTTCATAGAGCAGTTTTGAAATATTCTTTTCGCAGAATCTGCAAGTGGACATTTGGAGCGCTTTCAGGCCTGTGGTGGAAAAGGCCTGAAAGCCTTTTCTTTATCTTCACAGAAAGACGAGAGAGAAGCATTGTCAGAAACTTCTTTGTGATGATTGCATTCAACTCACAGAGTTGAAGATTCCTTTTGAAACAGCAGTTTCGAAACACTCTTTCTGTGGGATCCGCAAGGGGATATTTGGACCTCTTTGAAGGTTTCGTTGGAAACGGGATAATCTTCACCTAAAAGCTAAACGGAAGCATTCTCAGAAACTTCTTTGGGATGTTTGCATTCACCTCACAGAGTTGAACTTTCCCTTTGATAGCGCAGCTTTGACACACTTTTTCTACAATGTGCAAGTGGCTATTTAGCGGGCTTGGAGGACTGTGTTGGAAAAGGAAATATCTTCTCCTAAAAACGACATAGAAGCATTCTCAGAAACTGCTCTGTGATGATTGCATTCAACTCCCAGAGTTGAACATTCCTTTTGATAGAGCAGTTTGCAAACACTCTTTTTGTAGAATCTGCAAGTGGAGATTTGGACCGCTTTGAGGCCTGTGGTAGTGAAGGAAAGAGCTTCATATAAAAACCAGACGGTAGCACTCTCAGAAAATTCTTTGTGACGATGGAGTTTAACTCAGGGAGCTGAACATTCGTTATGATGGAGCAGTTTCCAAACACACGTTTTGTAGAATCTGCAAGGGGATATTTGGACCTCTCTGAGGATTTCGTTGGAAACGGGATCAACTTCCCATAACTGAACGGAAGCAAACTCAGAACATTCTTTGTGATGTTTGTATTCAACTCACAGAGTTGAACCTTCCTTTGATAGTTCAGGTTTGCAACACCCTTGTAGTAGAATCTGCAAGTGTATATTTTGAACACTTTGTAGCCTTCGTTTGAAACGTCTATATCTTCACATCAAACCTAGACAGAAGCATTCTCAGAAAGTTTTCTGCGATGACTGCATTCAACTCACAGAGTTGAACAATCCTTCTGATGGAGCAGTTTTGAAACCCTCTTTCTTTGGAATCTGCAAGGGGATATGTGGACCTCTTTGAAGATTTCACTGGAAACGGGATCATCTTCACATAAAAACTAAACAGAAGCATTCTCGGAAACTACTTTGTGATGTTTGTATTCAACTCCCAGAGTTGAACTTTCCTTTTGAAAGAGCAGCTATGAAACACTCTTTTTCGAGAATCTGCAAGTGGACGTTTGGAGGGCTTTGAGGCCTGTGGTGGAAAAGGAAATATCTTCACATAAAAACTAGATAGAAGCTTTCTCAGAAACGACTTTGTGAGGATGGCATTCAACTCATGGAGTTGAACAATCCTATTGGTAGAGCAGATTGGAATCACTCTTTTTGTAGAATCTGCAAATGGAGATTTGGACTGCTTTGAGGCCTACGGTAGTATAGGAAGGAACTTCATATAAAAGGCAAACGGAAGCATTCTCAGAATATTCTTTGTGATGATGGAGTTTCACTCACAGAGCTGAACATGCCTTTTGATGGAGCAGTTTCCAAATACACTTTTGGTAGAATCTGCAGGTGGATATTTGGAGCTCTCTGAGGATTTCGTTGGAAACGGGAATAATTTCCCATAACTAAACACAAACACTCTGAGAAAGTTCTTCATGATGAATGCATTTAACTCGCAGAGATGAACCTGCCTTTGAGAGTTCAGGTTCGAAACACTCTTTCTGTAGAATCTGCAAGTGGATATTTGGACCACTGGGTGGCCTTCGTTCGAAACGGGTATATGTTCACGTAAAAACTAAAGAGAAGCATTCTCAGAAACTTGTGAGTGATGATTGCATTCAAGTCACACAGTAGAACCCTCCTTTTGATGGAGCAGTTTTGAAACTGTCTTTTTGTAGAATCTGTAAGTGGATACGTGGACCTCTTTGAAGATTTCTTTGGAAACGGGAATATTTCCACAGAAAAACTAAACTGAAGCATTCTCAGAAACCGCTTTGTGATGTTTGTGTTCGAGCCACAGAGTTTAACATTGCTTTTCATAGAGCAGTTTTGAAATATTCTTTTGGCAGAATCTGCAAGTGGACATTTGGAGCGCTTTCAGGCCTGTGGTGGAAAAGGCCTGAAAGCCTTTTCCTTTATCTTCACAGAAAGACGAGAGAGAAGCATTGTCAGAAACTTCTTTGTGATGATTGCATTCAACTCACAGAGTTGAAGATTCCTTTTGAAACAGCAGTTTCGAAACACTCTTTCTGTGGGATCCGCAAGGGGATATTTGGACCTCTTTGAAGGTTTCGTTGGAAACGGGATAATCTTCACCTAAAAGCTAAACGGAAGCATTCTCAGAAACTTCTTTGGGATGTTTGCATTCACCTGACAGAGTTGAACTTTCCCTTTGATAGCGCAGCTTTGACACACTTTTTCTACAATGTGCAAGTGGCTATTTAGCGGGCTTGGAGGACTGTGTTGGAAAAGGAAATATCTTCTCCTAAAAACGACATAGAAGCATTCTCAGAAACTGCTCTGTGATGATTGCATTCAACTCCCAGAGTTGAACATTCCTTTTGATAGAGCAGTTTGCAAACACTCTTTTTGTAGAATCTGCAAGTGGAGATTTGGACCGCTTTGAGGCCTGTGGTAGTGAAGGAAAGAACTTCATATAAAAACCAGACGGTAGCACTCTCAGAAAATTCTTTGTGACGATGGAGTTTAACTCAGGGAGCTGAACATTCGTTATGATGGAGCAGTTTCCAAACACACGTTTTGTAGAATCTGCGAGGGGATATTTGGACCTCTCTGAGGATTTCGTTGGAAACGGGATCAACTTCCCATAACTGAACGGAAGCAAACTCAGAACATTCTTTGTGATGTTTGTATTCAATTCACAGAGTTGAACCTTCCTTTGATAGTTCAGGTTTGCAACACCCTTGTAGTAGAATCTGCAAGTGTATATTTTGACCACTTTGTAGCCTTCGTTTGAAACGTCTATATCTTCACATCAAACCTAGACAGAAGCATTCTCAGAAAGTTTTCTGCGATGACTGCATTCAACTCACAGAGTTGAACAATCCTTCTGATGGAGCAGTTTTTAAACCCTCTTTCTTTGGAATCTGCAAGGGGATATGTGGACCTCTTTGAAGATTTCACTGGAAACGGGATCATCTTCACATAAAAACTAAACAGAAGCATTCTCGGAAACTATTTTGTGATGTTTGTATTCAACTCCCAGAGTTGAACTTTCCTTTTGAAAGAGCAGCTATGAAACACTCTTTTTCGAGAATCTGCAAGTGGACGTTTGGAGGGCTTTGAGGCCTGTGGTGGAAAAGGAAATATCTTCACATAAAAACTAGATAGAAGCATTCTCAGAAACGACTTTGTGAGGATGGCATTCAACTCATGGAGTTGAACAATCCTATTGATAGAGCAGATTGGAATCACTCTTTTTGTAGAATCTGCAAATGGAGATTTGGACTGCTTTGAGGCCTACGGTAGTATAGGAAGGAACTTCATATAAAAGGCAAACGGAAGCATTCTCAGAATATTCTTTGTGATGACGGAGTTTCACTCACAGAGCTGAACATGCCTTTTCATGGAGCAGTTTCCAAATACACTTTTGGTAGAATCTGCAGGTGGATATTTGGAGCTCTCTGAGGATTTCGTTGGAAACGGGAATAATTTCCCATAACTAAACACAAACACGCTGAGAAAGTTCTTCATGATGAATGCATTTAACGCGCAGAGATGAACCTGCCTTTGAGAGTTCAGGTTCGAAACACTCTTTCTGTAGAATCTGCAAGTGGATATTTGGACCACTGGCTGGCCTTCGTTCGAAACGGGTATATGTTCACGTAAAAACTAAAGAGAAGCGTTCTCAGAAACTTCTGAGTGATGATTGCATTCCAGTCACACAGTTGAACCCTCCTTTTGATTGAGCAGTTTTGAAACTGTCTTTTTGTAGAATCTGTAAGTGGATGCGTGGACCTCTTTGAAGATTTCTTTGGAAACGGGAATATTTCCACAGAAAAACTAAACTGAAGCATTCTCAGAAACTGCTTTGTGATGTTTGTGTTCGAGCCACAGAGTTTAACATTGCTTTTCATAGAGCAGTTTTGAAATATTCTTTTGGCAGAATCTGCAAGTGGACATTTGGAGCGCTTTCAGGCCTGTGGTGGAAAAGGCCTGAAAGCCTTTTCCTTTATCTTCACAGAAAGACGAGAGAGAAGCATTGTCAGAAACTTCTTTGTGATGATTGCATTCAACTCACAGAGTTGAAGATTCCTTTTGAAACAGCAGTTTCGAAACACTCTTTCTGTGAGATCCGCAAGGGGATATTTGGACCTCTTTGAAGATTTCGTTGGAAACGGGATAATCTTCACCTAAAAGCTAAACGGAAGCATTCTCAGAAACTTCTTTGGGATGTTTGCATTCACCTCACAGAGTTGAACTTTCCCTTTGTTAGCGCAGCTTCGACACACTTTTTCTACAATGTGCAAGTCGATATTTAGCGGGCTTTGAGGACTGTGTTGGAAAAGGAAATATCTTCTCCTAAAAACGACATAGAAGCATTCTCAGAAACTGTTCTGTGATGATTGCATTCAACTCCCAGAGTTGAACATTCCTTTTGATAGAGCAGTTTGCAAACACTCTTTTTGTAGAATCTGCAAGTGGAGATTTGGACTGCTTTGAGGCCTGTGGTAGTAAAGGAAAGAACTTCCTTTAAAAACTAGACGGTAGCACTCTCAGAAAATTCTTTGTGACGATGGAGTTTAACTCAGAGAGCTGAACATTCGTTATGATGGAGCAGTTTCCAAACACACATTTTGTAGAATCTGCAAGGGGATATTTGGACCTCTCTGAGGATTTCGTTGGAAACGGGATCAACTTCCCATAACTGAACGGAAGCAAACTCAGAACATTCTTTGCGATGTTTGTATTCAACTCACAGAGTTGAACCTTCCTTTGATAGTTCAGGTTTGCAACACCCTTGTAGTAGAATCTGCAAGTGTATATTTTGACCACTTTGTAGCCTTCGTTTGAAACGTCTATATCTTCACATCAAACCTAGACAGAAGCATTCTCAGAAAGTTTTCTGCGATGACTGCATTCAACTCACAGAGTTGAACAATCCTTTTGATGGAGCAGTTTTGAAACCCTCTTTCTTTGGAATCTGCAAGGGGATATGTGGACCTCTTTGAAGATTTCACTGGAAACGGGATCATCTTCACATAAGAACTAAACAGAAGCATTCTCGGAAACTACTTTGTGATGTTTGTATTCAACTCCCAGAGTTGAACTTTCCTTTTGAAAGAGCAGCTATGAAACACTCTTTTTCGAGAATCTGCAAGTGGACGTTTGGAGGGCTTTGAGGCCTGTGGTGGAAAAGGAAATATCTTCACATAAAAACTAGATAGAAGCATACTCAGAAACGACTTTGTGAGGATGGCCTTCAACTCATGGAGTTGAACAATCCTATTGATAGAGCAGATTGGAATCACTCTTTTTGTAGAATCTGCAAATGGAGATTTGGACTGCTTTGAGGCCTACGGTAGTATAGGAAGGAACTTCATATAAAAGGCAAACGGAAGCATTCTCAGAATATTCTTTGTGATGATGGAGTTTCACTCACAGAGCTGAGCATGCCTTTTGATGGAGCAGTTTCCAAATACACTTTTGGTAGAATCTGCAGGTGGATATTTGGAGCTCTCTGAGGATTTCGTTGGAAACGGGAATAATTTCCCATAACTAAACACAAACACTCTGAGAAAGTTCTTCATGATGAATGCATTTAACTCGCAGAGATGAACCTGCCTTTGAGAGTTCAGGTTCGAAACACTCTTTCTGTAGAATCTGCAAGTGGATATTTGGACCACTGGCTGGCCTTCGTTCGAAACGGGTATATGTTCACGTAAAAACTAAAGAGAAGCATTCTCAGAAACTTCTGAGTGATGATTGCATTCAAGTCACACAGTTGAACCCTCCTTTTGATGGAGCAGTTTTGAAACTGTCTTTTTGTAGAATCTGTAAGTGGATACGTGGACCTCTTTGAAGATTTCTTTGGAAACGGGAATATTTCCACAGAAAAACTAAACTGAAGCATTCTCAGAAACCGCTTTGTGATGTTTGTGTTCGAGCCACAGAGTTTAACATTGCTTTTCATAGAGCAGTTTTGAAATATTCTTTTGGCAGAATCTGCAAGTGGACATTTGGAGCGCTTTCAGGCCTGTGGTGGAAAAGGCCTGAAAGCCTTTTCCTTTATCTTCACAGAAAGACGAGAGAGAAGCATTGTCAGAAACTTCTTTGTGATGATTGCATTCAACTCACAGAGTTGAAGATTCCTTTTGAAACAGCAGTTTCGAAACACTCTTTCTGTGGGATCCGCAAGGTGATATTTGGACCTCTTTGAAGGTTTCATTGGAAACGGGATAATCTTCACCTAAAAGCTAAACGGAAGCATTCTCAGAAACTTCTTTGGGATGTTTGCATTCACCTCACAGAGTTGAACTTTCCCTTTGATAGCGCAGCTTTGACACACTTTTTCTACAATGTGCAAGTGGCTATTTAGCGGGCTTGGAGGACTGTGTTGGAAAAGGAAATATCTTCTCCTAAAAACGACATAGAAGCATTCTCAGAAACTGCTCTGTGATGATTGCATTCAACTCCCAGAGTTGAACATTCCTTTTGATAGAGCAGTTTGCAAACACTCTTTTTGTAGAATCTGCAAGTGGAGATTTGGACCGCTTTGAGGCCTGTGGTAGTGAAGGAAAGAGCTTCATATAAAAACCAGACGGTAGCACTCTCAGAAAATTCTTTGTGACGATGGAGTTTAACTCAGGGAGCTGAACATTCGTTATGATGGAGCAGTTTCCAAACACACGTTTTGTAGAATCTGCGAGGGGATATTTGGACCTCTCTGAGGATTTCGTTGGAAACGGGATCAACTTCCCATAACTGAACGGAAGCAAACTCAGAACATTCTTTGTGATGTTTGTATTCAACTCACAGAGTTGAACCTTCCTTTGATAGTTCAGGTTTGCAACACCCTTGTAGTAGAATCTGCAAGTGTATATTTTGACCACTTTGTAGCCTTCGTTTGAAACGTCTATATCTTCACATCAAACCTAGACAGAAGCATTCTCAGAAAGTTTTCTGCGATGACTGCATTCAACTCACAGAGTTGAACAATCCTTCTGATGGAGCAGTTTTGAAACCCTCTTTCTTTGGAATCTGCAAGGGGATATGTGGACCTCTTTGAAGATTTCACTGGAAACGGGATCATCTTCACATAGAAACTAAACAGAAGCATTCTCGGAAACTATTTTGTGATGTTTGTATTCAACTCCCAGAGTTGAACTTTCCTTTTGAAAGAGCAGCTATGAAACACTCTTTTTCGAGAATCTGCAAGTGGACGTTTGGAGGGCTTTGAGGCCTGTGGTGGAAAAGGAAATATCTTCACACAAAAACCAGATAGAAGCATTCTCAGAAACTGCTTTGTGAGGATGGCATTCAACTCATGGAGTTGAACAATCCTTTTGATAGAGCAGATTGGAATCACTCTTTTTGTAGAATCTGCAAATGGAGATTTGGACTGCTTTGAGGCCTACGGTAGTACAGGAAGGAACTTCATATAAAAGGCAAACGGAAGCATTCTCAGAATATTCTTTGTGATGATGGAGTTTCACTCACAGAGCTGAACATGCCTTTTGATGGAGCAGTTTCCAAATACACTTTTGGTAGAATCTGCAGGTGGATATTTGGAGCTCTCTGAGGATTTCGTTGGAAACGGGAATAATTTCCCATAACTAAACACAAACACTCTGAGAAAGTTCTTCATGATGAATGCATTTAACTCGCAGAGATGAACCTGCCTTTGAGAGTTCAGGTTCGAAACACTCTTTCTGTATAATCTGCAAGTGGATATTTGGACCACTGGGTGGCCTTCGTTCGAAACGGGTATATGTTCACGTAAAAACTAAAGAGAAGCATTCTCAGAAACTTCTGAGTGATGATTGCATTCAAGTCACACAGTTGAACCCTCCTTTTGATGGAGCAGTTTTGAAACTGTCTTTTTGTAGAATCTGTAAGTGGATACGTGGACCTCTTTGAAGATTTCTTTGGAAACGGGAATATTTCCACAGAAAAACTAAACTGAAACATTCTCAGAAACCGCTTTGTGATGTTTGTGTTCCAGCCACAGAGTTTAACATTGCTTTTCATAGAGCAGTTTTGAAATATTCTTTTCGCAGAATCTGCAAGTGGACATTTGGAGCGCTTTCAGGCCTGTGGTGGAAAAGGCCTGAAAGCCTTTTCCTTTATCTTCACAGAAAGACGAGAGAGAAGCATTGTCAGAAACTTCTTTGTGATGATTGCATTCAACTCACAGAGTTGAAGATTCCTTTTGAAACAGCAGTTTCGAAACACTCTTTCTGTGGGATCCGCAAGGGGATATTTGGACCTCTTTGAAGGTTTCGTTGGAAACGGGATAATCTTCACCTAAAAGCTAAACGGAAGCATTCTCAGAAACTTCTTTGGGATGTTTGCATTCACCTCACAGAGTTGAACTTTCCCTTTGATAGCGCAGCTTTGACACACTTTTTCTTCAATGTGCAAGTGGCTATTTAGCGGGCTTGGAGGACTGTGTTGGAAAAGGAAATATCTTCTCCTAAAAACGACATAGAAGCATTCTCAGAAACTGCTCTGTGATGATTGCATTCAACTCCCAGAGTTGAACATTCCTTTTGATAGAGCAGTTTGCAAACACTCTTTTTGTAGAATCTGCAAGTGGAGATTTGGACCGCTTTGAGGCCTGTGGTAGTGAAGGAAAGAACTTCATATAAAAACCAGACGGTAGCACTCTCAGAAAATTCTTTGTGACGATGGAATTTAACTCAGGGAGCTGAACATTCGTTATGATGGAGCAGTTTCCAAACACACGTTTTGTAGAATCTGCAAGGGGATATTTGGACCTCTCTGAGGATTTCGTTGGAAACGGGATCAACTTCCCATAACTGAACTGAAGCAAACTCAGAACATTCTTTGTGATGTTTGTATTCAACTCACAGAGTTGAACCTTCCTTTGATAGTTCAGGTTTGCAACACCCTTGTAGTAGAATCTGCAAGTGTATATTTTCACCACTTTGTAGCCTTCATTTGAAACGTCTATATCTTCACATCAAACCTAGACAGAAGCATTCTCAGAAAGTTTTCTGCGATGACTGCATTCAACTCACAGAGTTGAAGAATCCTTTTGATGGAGCAGTTTTGAAACCCTCTTTCTTTGGAATCTGCAAGGGGATATGTGGACCTCTTTGAAGATTTCACTGGAAACGGGATCATCTTCACATAAAAACTAAACAGAAGCATTCTCGGAAACTATTTTGTGATGTTTGTATTCAACTCCCAGAGTTGAACTTTCCTTTTGAAAGAGCAGCTATGAAACACTCTTTTTCGAGAATCTGCAAGTGGACGTTTGGAGGGCTTTGAGGCCTGTGGTGGAAAAGGAAATATCTTCACACAAAAACCAGATAGAAGCATTCTCAGAAACTACTTTGTGAGGATGGCATTCAACTCATGGAGTTGAACAATCCTATTGATAGAGCAGATTGGAATCACTCTTTTTGTAGAATCTGCAAATGGAGATTTGGACTGCTTTGAGGCCTACGGTAGTACAGGAAGGAACTTCATATAAAAGGCAAACGGAAGCATTCTCAGAATATTCTTTGTGATGATGGAGTTTCACTCACAGAGCTGAACATGCCTTTTGATGGAGCAGTTTCCAAATACACTTTTGGTAGAATCTGCAGGTGGATATTTGGAGCTCTCTGAGGATTTCGTTGGAAACGGGAATAATTTCCCATAACTAAACACAAACACTCTGAGAAAGTTCTTCATGATGAATGCATTTAACTCGCAGAGATGAACCTGCCTTTGAGAGTTCAGGTTCGAAACACTCTTTCTGTAGAATCTGCAAGTGGATATTTGGACCACTGGGTGGCCTTCGTTCGAAACGGGTATATGTTCACGTAAAAACTAAAGAGAAGCATTCTCAGAAACTTCTGAGTGATGATTGCATTCAAGTCACACAGTTGAACCCTCCTTTTGATGGAGCAGTTTTGAAACTGTCTTTTTGTAGAATCTGTAAGTGGATACGTGGACCTCTTTGAAGATTTCCTTTGGAAACGGGAATATTTCCACAGAAAAACTAAACTGAAGCATTCTCAGAAACTGCTTTGTGATGTTTGTGTTCGAGCCACAGAGTTTAACATTGCTTTTCATAGAGCAGTTTTGAAATATTCTTTTGGCAGAATCTACAAGTGGACATTTGGAGCGCTTTCAGGCCTGTGGTGGAAAAGGCCTGAAAGCCTTTTCCTTTATCTTCACAGAAAGACGAGAGAGAAGCATTGTCAGAAACTTCTTTGTGATGATTGCATTCAACTCACAGAGTTGAAGATTCCTTTTGAAACAGCAGTTTCGAAACACTCTTTCTGTGGGATCCGCAAGGGGATATTTGGACCTCTTTGAAGGTTTCGTTGGAAACGGGATAATCTTCACCTAAAAGCTAAACGGAAGCATTCTCAGAAACTTCTTTGGGATGTTTGCATTCACCTCACAGAGTTGAACTTTCCCTTTGATAGCGCAGCTTTGACACACTTTTTCTACAATGTGCAAGTGGCTATTTAGCGGGCTTGGAGGACTGTGTTGGAAAAGGAAATATCTTCTCCTAAAAACGACATAGAAGCATTCTCAGAAACTGCTCTGTGATGATTGCATTCAACTCCCAGAGTTGAACATTCCTTTTGATAGAGCAGTTTGCAAACACTCTTTTTGTAGAATCTGCAAGTGGAGATTTGGACCGCTTTGAGGCCTGTGGTAGTGAAGGAAAGAACTTCATATAAAAACCAGACGGTAGCACTCTCAGAAAATTCTTTGTGACGATGGAGTTTAACTCAGGGAGCTGAACATTCGTTATGATGGAGCAGTTTCCAAACACACGTTTTGTAGAATCTGCGAGGGGATATTTGGACCTCTCTGAGGATTTCGTTGGAAACGGGATCAACTTCCCATAACTGAACGGAAGCAAACTCAGAACATTCTTTGTGATGTTTGTATTCAACTCACAGAGTTGAACCTTCCTTTGATAGTTCAGGTTTGCAACACCCTTGTAGTAGAATCTGCAAGTGTATATTTTGACCACTTTGTAGCCTTCGTTTGAAACGTCTATATCTTCACATCAAACCTAGACAGAAGCATTCTCAGAAAGTTTTCTGCGATGACTGCATTCAACTCACAGAGTTGAACAATCCTTCTGATGGAGCAGTTTTTAAACACTCTTTCTTTGGAATCTGCAAGGGGATATGTGGACCTCTTTGAAGATTTCACTGGAAACGGGATCATCTTCACATAAAAACTAAACAGAAGCATTCTCGGAAACTATTTTGTGATGTTTGTATTCAACTCCCAGAGTTGAACTTTCCTTTTGAAAGAGCAGCTATGAAACACTCTTTTTCGAGAATCAGCAAGTGGACGTTTGGAGGGCTTTGAGGCCTGTGGTGGAAAAGGAAATATCTTCACACAAAAACCAGATAGAAGCATTCTCAGAAACTGCTTTGTGAGGATGGCATTCAACTCATGGAGTTGAACAATCCTATTGACAGAGCAGATTGGAATCACTCTTTTTGTAGAATCTGCAAATGGAGATTTGGACTGCTTTGAGGCCTACGGTCGTATAGGAAGGAACTTCAGATAAAAGGCAAACGGAAGCATTCTCAGAATATTCTTTGTGATGATGGAGTTTCACTCACAGAGCTGAACATGCCTTTTGATGGAGCAGTTTCCAAATACACTTTTGGTAGAATCTGCAGGTGGATATTTGGAGCTCTTTGAGGATTTCGTTGGAAACGGGAATAATTTCCCATAACTAAACACAAACACGCTGAGAAAGTTCTTCATGATGAATGCATTTAACTCGCAGTGATGAACCTGCCTTTGAGAGTTCAGGTTCGAAACACTCTTTCTGTAGAATCTGCAAGTGGATATTTGGACCACTGGGTGGCCTTCGTTCGAAACGGGTATATGTTCACGTAAAAACTAAAGAGAAGCATTCTCAGAAACTTCTGAGTGATGATTGCATTCAAGTCACACAGTTGAACCCTCCTTTTGATGGAGCAGTTTTGAAACTGTCTTTTTGTAGAATCTGTAAGTGGATACGTGGACCTCTTTGAAGATTTCTTTGGAAACGGGAATATTTCCACAGAAAAACTAAACTGAAGCATTCTCAGAAACCGCCTTGTGATGTTTGTGTTCGAGCCACAGAGTTTAACATTGCGTTTCATAGAGCAGTTTTGAAATATTCTTTTGGCAGAATCTGCAAGTGGACATTTGGAGCGCTTTCAGGCCTGTGGTGGAAAAGGCCTGAAAGCCTTTTCCTTTATCTTCACAGAAAGACGAGAGAGAAGCATTGTCAGAAACTTCTTTGTGATGATTGCATTCAACTCACAGAGTTGAAGATTCCTTTTGAAACAGCAGTTTCGAAACACTCTTTCTGTGGGATCCGCAAGGGGATATTTGGACCTCTTTGAAGGTTTCGTTGGAAACGGGATAATCTTCACCTAAAAGCTAAACGGAAGCATTCTCAGAAACTTCTTTGGGATGTTTGCATTCACCTCACAGAGTTGAACTTTCCCTTTGATAGCGCAGCTTTGACACACTTTTTCTACAATGTGCAAGTGGCTATTTAGCGGGCTTGGAGGACTGTGTTGGAAAAGGAAATATCTTCTCCTAAAAACGACATAGAAGCATTCTCAGAAACTGCTCTGTGATGATTGCATTCAACTCCCAGAGTTGAACATTCCTTTTGATAGAGCAGTTTGCAAACACTCTTTTTGTAGAATCTGCAAGTGGAGATTTGGACCGCATTGAGGCCTGTGGTAGTGAAGGAAAGAACTTCATATAAAAACCAGACGGTAGCACTCTCAGAAAATTCTTTGTGACGATGGAGTTTAACTCAGGGAGCTGGACATTCGTTATGATGGAGCAGTTTCCAAACACACGTTTTGTAGAATCTGCAAGGGGATATTTGGACCTCTCTGAGGATTTCGTTGGAAACGGGATCAACTTCCCATAACTGAACGGAAGCAAACTCAGAACATTCTTTGTGATGTTTGTATTCAACTCACAGAGTTGAACCTTCCTTTGATAGTTCAGGTTTGCAACACCCTTGTAGTAGAATCTGCAAGTGTATATTTTGACCACTTTGTAGCCTTCATTTGAAACGTCTATATCTTCACATCAAACCTAGACAGAAGCATTCTCAGAAAGTTTTCTGCGATGACTGCATTCAACTCACAGAGTTGAACAATCCTTCTGATGGAGCAGTTTTGAAACCCTCTTTCTTTGGAATCTGCAAGGGGATATGTGGACCTCTTTGAAGATTTCACTGGAAACGGGATCATCTTCACATAAAAACTAAACAGAAGCATTCTCGGAAACTATTTTGTGATGTTTGTATTCAACTCCCAGAGTTGAACTTTCCTTTTGAAAGAGCAGCTATGAAACACTCTTTTTCGAGAATCTGCAAGTGGACGTTTAGAGGGCTTTGAGGCCTGTGGTGGAAAAGGAAATATCTTCACACAAAAACCAGATAGAAGCATTCTCAGAAACTGCTTTGTGAGGATGGCATTCAACTCATGGAGTTGAACAATCCTATTGATAGAGCAGATTGGAATCACTCTTTTTGTAGAATCTGCAAATGGAGATTTGGACTGCTTTGAGGCCTACGGTAGTACAGGAAGGAACTTCATATAAAAGGCAAACGGAAGCATTCTCAGAATATTCTTTGTGATGATGGAGTTTCACTCACAGAGCTGAACATGCCTTTTGATGGAGCAGTTTCCAAATACACTTTTGGTAGAATCTGCAGGTGGATATTTGGAGCTCTCTGAGGATTTCTTTGGAAACGGGAATAATTTCCCATAACTAAACACAAACACTCTGAGAAAGTTCTTCATGATGAATGCATTTAACTCGCAGAGATGAACCTGCCTTTGAGAGTTCAGGTTCGAAACACTCTTTCTGTATAATCTGCAAGTGGATATTTGGACCACTGGCTGGCCTTCGTTCGAAACGGGTATATGTTCACGTAAAAACTAAAGAGAAGCATTCTCAGAAACTTCTGAGTGATGATTGCATTCAAGTCACACGGTTGAACCCTCCTTTTGATGGAGCAGTTTTGAAACTGTCTTTTTGTAGAATCTGTAAGTGGATACGTGGACCTCTTTGAAGATTTCTTTGGAAACGGGAATATTTCCACAGAAAAACTAAACTGAAGCATTCTCAGAAACCGCTTTGTGATGTTTGTGTTCGAGCCACAGAGTTTAACATTGCTTTTCATAGAGCAGTTTTGAAATATTCTTTTCGCAGAATCTGCAAGTGGACATTTGGAGCGCTTTCAGGCCTGTGGTGGAAAAGGCCTGAAAGCCTTTTCCTTTATCTTCACAGAAAGACGAGAGAGAAGCATTGTCAGAAACTTCTTTGTGATGATTGCATTCAACTCACAGAGTTGAAGATTCCTTTTGAAACAGCAGTTTCGAAACACTCTTTCTGTGGGATCCGCAAGGGGATATTTGGACCTCTTTGAAGGTTTCGTTGGAAACGGGATAATCTTCACCTAAAAGCTAAACGGAAGCATTCTCAGAAACTTCTTTGGGATGTTTGCATTCACCTCACAGAGTTGAACTTTCCCTTTGATAGCGCAGCTTTGACTCACTTTTTCTACAATGTGCAAGTGGCTATTTAGCGGGCTTGGAGGACTGTGTTGGAAAAGGAAATATCTTCTCCTAAAAACGACATAGAAGCATTCTCAGAAACTGCTCTGTGATGATTGCATTCAACTCCCAGAGTTGAACATTCCTTTTGATAGAGCAGTTTGCAAACACTCTTTTTGTAGAATCTGCAAGTGGAGATTTGGACCGCTTTGAGGCCTGTGGTAGTGAAGGAAAGAACTTCATATAAAAACCAGACGGTAGCACTCTCAGAAAATTCTTTGTGATGATGGAGTTTAACTCAGGGAGCTGAACATTCGTTATGATGGAGCAGTTTCCAAACACACGTTTTGTAGAATCTGCAAGGGGATATTTGGACCTCTCTGAGGATTTCGTTGGAAACGGGATCAACTTCCCATAACTGAACGGAAGCAAACTCAGAACATTCTTTGTGATGTTTGTATTCAACTCACAGAGTTGAACCTTCCTTTGATAGTTCAGGTTTGCAACACCCTTGTAGTAGAATCTGCAAGTGTATATTTTGACCACTTTGTAGCCTTCGTTTGAAACGTCTATATCGTCACATCAAACCTAGACAGAAAGCATTCTCAGAAAGTTTTCTGCGATGACTGCATTCAACTCACAGAGTTGAACAATCCTTTTGATGGAGCAGTTTTGAAACCCTCTTTCTTTGGAATCTGCAAGGGGATATGTGGACCTCTTTGAAGATTTCACTGGAAACGGGATCATCTTCACATAAGAACTAAACAGAAGCATTCTCGGAAACTACTTTGTGATGTTTGTATTCAACTCCCAGAGTTGAACTTTCCTTTTGAAAGAGCAGCTATGAAACACTCTTTTTCGAGAATCTGCAAGTGGACGTTTGGAGGGCTTTGAGGCCTGTGGTGGAAAAGGAAATATCTTCACATAAAAACTAGATAGAAGCATTCTCAGAAACGACTTTGTGAGGATGGCATTCAACTCATGGAGTTGAACAATCCTATTGATAGAGCAGATTGGAATCACTCTTTTTGTAGAATCTGCAAATGGAGATTTGGACTGCTTTGAGGCCTACGGTAGTATAGGAAGGAACTTCATATAAAAGGCAAACGGAAGCATTCTCAGAATATTCTTTGTGATGATGGAGTTTCACTCACAGAGCTGAACATGCCTTTTGATGGAGCAGTTTCCAAATACACTTTTGGTAGAATCTGCAGGTGGATATTTGGAGCTCTCTGAGGATTTCGTTGGAAACGGGAATAATTTCCCATAACTAAACACAAACACTCTGAGAAAGTTCTTCATGATGAATGCATTTAACTCGCAGAGATGAACCTGCCTTTGAGAGTTCAGGTTCGAAACACTCTTTCTGTATAATCTGCAAGTGGATATTTGGACCACTGGGTGGCCTTCGTTCGAAACGGGTATATGTTCACGTAAAAACTAAAGAGAAGCATTCTCAGAAACTTCTGAGTGATGATTGCATTCAAGTCACACAGTTGAACCCTCCTTTTGATGGAGCAGTTTTGAAACTGTCTTTTTGTAGAATCTGTAAGTGGATACGTGGACCTCTTTGAAGATTTCTTTGGAAACGGGAATATTTCCACAGAAAAACTAAACTGAAACATTCTCAGAAACCGCTTTGTGATGTTTGTGTTCCAGCCACAGAGTTTAACATTGCTTTTCATAGAGCAGTTTTGAAATATTCTTTTGGCAGAATCTGCAAGTGGACATTTGGAGCGCTTTCAGGCCTGTGGTGGAAAAGGCCTGAAAGCCTTTTCCTTTATCTTCACAGAAAGACGAGAGAGAAGCATTGTCAGAAACTTCTTTGTGATGATTGCATTCAACTCACAGAGTTGAAGATTCCTTTTGAAACAGCAGTTTCGAAACACTCTTTCTGTGGGATCCGCAAGGGGATATTTGGACCTCTTTGAAGGTTTCGTTGGAAACGGGATAATCTTCACCTAAAAGCTAAACGGAAGCATTCTCAGAAACTTCTTTGGGATGTTTGCATTCACCTCACAGAGTTGAACTTTCCCTTTGATAGCGCAGCTTTGACACACTTTTTCTACAATGTGCAAGTGGCTATTTAGCGGGCTTGGAGGACTGTGTTGGAAAAGGAAATATCTTCTCCTAAAAACGACATAGAAGCATTCTCAGAAACTGCTCTGTGATGATTGCATTCAACTCCCAGAGTTGAACATTCCTTTTGATAGAGCAGTTTGCAAACACTCTTTTTGTAGAATCTGCAAGTGGAGATTTGGACCGCTTTGAGGCCTGTGGTAGTGAAGGAAAGAACTTCATATAAAAACCAGACGGTAGCACTCTCAGAAAATTCTTTGTGACGATGGAGTTTAACTCAGGGAGCTGAACATTCGTTATGATGGAGCAGTTTCCAAACACACGTTTTGTAGAATCTGCAAGGGGATATTTGGACCTCTCTGAGGATTTCGTTGGAAACGGGATCAACTTCCCATAACTGAACGGAAGCAAACTCAGAACATTCTTTGTGATGTTTGTATTCAACTCACAGAGTTGAACCTTCCTTTGATAGTTCAGGTTTGCAACACCCTTGTAGTAGAATCTGCAAGTGTATATTTTGACCACTTTGTAGCCTTCGTTTGAAACGTCTATATCTTCACATCAAACCTAGACAGAAGCATTCTCAGAAAGTTTTCTGCGATGACTGCATTCAACTCACAGAGTTGAACAATCCTTCTGATGGAGCAGTTTTGAAACCCTCTTTCTTTGGAATCTGCAAGGGGATATGTGGACCTCTTTGAAGATTTCACTGGAAACGGGATCATCTTCACATAAAAACTAAACAGAAGCATTCTCGGAAACTATTTTGTGATGTTTGTATTCAACTCCCAGAGTTGAACTTTCCTTTTGAAAGAGCAGCTATGAAACACTCTTTTTCGAGAATCTGCAAGTGGACGTTTGGAGGGCTTTGAGGCCTGTGGTGGAAAAGGAAATATCTTCACACAAAAACCAGATAGAAGCATTCTCAGAAACTACTTTGTGAGGATGGCATTCAACTCATGGAGTTGAACAATCCTATTGATAGAGCAGATTGGAATCACTCTTTTTGTAGAATCTGCAAATGGAGATTTGGACTGCTTTGAGGCCTACGGTAGTACAGGAAGGAACTTCATATAAAAGGCAAACGGAAGCATTCTCAGAATATTCTTTGTGATGATGGAGTTTCACTCACAGAGCTGAACTTGCCTTTTGATGGAGCAGTTTCCAAATACACTTTTGGTAGAATCTGCAGGTGGACATTTGGAGCTCTCTGAGGATTTCGTTGGAAACGGGAATAATTTCCCATAACTAAACACAAACACTCTGAGAAAGTTCTTCATGATGAATGCATTTAACTCGCAGAGATGAACCTGCCTTTGAGAGTTCATGTTCGAAACACTCTTCTTGTAGAATCTGCAAGTGGATATTTGGAACACTGGGTGGCCTTCGTTCGAAACGGGAATATGTTCACGTAAAAACTAAAGAGAAGCATTCTCAGAAACTTCTGAGTGATGATTGCATTCAAGTCACACAGTTGAACCCTCCTTTTGATGGAGCAGTTTTGAAACTGTCTTTTTGTAGAATCTGTAAGTGGATACGTGGACCTCTTTGAAGATTTCTTTGGAAACGGGAATATTTCCACAGAAAAACTAAACTGAAGCATTCTCAGAAACCGCTTTGTGATGTTTGTGTTCGAGCCACAGAGTTTAACATTGCTTTTCATAGAGCAGTTTTGAAATATTCTTTTCGCAGAATCTGCAAGTGGACATTTGGAGCGCTTTCAGGCCTGTGGTGGAAAAGGGCCTGAAAGCCTTTTCCTTTATCTTCACAGAAAGACGAGAGAGAAGCATTGTCAGAAACTTCTTTGTGATGATTGCATTCAACTCACAGAGTTGAAGATTCCTTTTGAAACAGCAGTTTCGAAACACTCTTTCTGTGGGATCCGCAAGGGGATATTTGGACCTCTTTGAAGGTTTCGTTGGAAACGGGATAATCTTCACCTAAAAGCTAAACGGAAGCATTCTCAGAAACTTCTTTGGGATGTTTGCATTCACCTCACAGAGTTGAACTTTCCCTTTGATAGCGCAGCTTTGACACACTTTTTCTACAATGTGCAAGTGGCTATTTAGCGGGCTTGGAGGACTGTGTTGGAAAAGGAAATATCTTCTCCTAAAAACGACATAGAAGCATTCTCAGAAACTGCTCTGTGATGATTGCATTCAACTCCCAGAGTTGAACATTCCTTTTGATAGAGCAGTTTGCAAACACTCTTTTTGTACAATCTGCAAGTGGAGATTTGGACCGCTTTGAGGCCAGTGGTAGTGAAGGAAAGAACTTCATATAAAAACCAGACGGTAGCACTCTCAGAAAATTCTTTGTGACGATGGAGTTTAACTCAGGGAGCTGAACATTCGTTATGATGGAGCAGTTTCCAAACACACGTTTTGTAGAATCTGCAAGGGGATATTTGGACCTCTCTGAGGATTTCGTTGGAAACGGGATCAACTTCCCATAACTGAACGGAAGCAAACTCAGAACATTCTTTGTGATGTTTGTATTCAACTCACAGAGTTGAACCTTCCTTTGATAGTTCAGGTTTGCAACACCCTTGTAGTAGAATCTGCAAGTGTATATTTTGACCACTTTGTAGCCTTCATTTGAAACGTCTATATCTTCACATCAAACCTAGACAGAAGCATTCTCAGAAAGTTTTCTGCGATGACTGCATTCAACTCACAGAGTTGAACAATCCTTCTGATGGAGCAGTTTTGAAACCCTCTTTCTTTGGAATCTGCAAGGGGATATGTGGACCTCTTTGAAGATTTCACTGGAAACGGGATCATCTTCACATAAAAACTAAACAGAAGCATTCTCGGAAACTACTTTGTGATGTTTGTATTCAACTCCCAGAGTTGAACTTTCCTTTTGAAAGAGCAGCTATGAAACACTCTTTTTCGAGAATCTGCAAGTGGACGTTTGGAGGGCTTGGAGGCCTGTGGTGGAAAAGGAAATATCTTCACATAAAACTAGATAGAAGCATTCTCAGAAACTACTTTGTGAGGATGGCATTCAACTCATGGAGTTGAACAATCCTATTGATAGAGCAGATTGGAATCACTCTTTTTGTAGAATCTGCAAATGGAGATTTGGACTGCTTTGAGGCCTACGGTCGTATAGGAAGGAACTTCATATAAAAGGCAAACGGAAGCATTCTCAGAATATTCTTTGTGATGATGGAGTTTCACTCACAGAGCTGAACATGCCTTTTGATGGAGCAGTTTCCAAATACACTTTTGGTAGAATCTGCAGGTGGATATTTGGAGCTCTCTGAGGATTTCGTTGGAAACGGGAATAATTTCCCATAACTAAACACAAACACTCTGAGAAAGTTCTTCATCATGAATGCATTTAACTCGCAGAGATGAACCTGCCTTTGAGAGTTCAGGTTCGAAACACTCTTTCTGTAGAATCTGCAAGTGGATATTTGGACCCCTGGGTGGCCTTCGTTCGAAACGGGTATATGTTCACGTAAAAACTAAAGAGAAGCATTCTCAGAAACTTCTGAGTGATGATTGCATTCAAGTCACACAGTTGAACCCTCCTTTTGATGGAGCAGTTTTGAAACTGTCTTTTTGTAGAATCTGTAAGTGGATACGTGGACCTCTTTGAAGATTTCTTTGGAAACGGGAATATTTCCACAGAAAAACTAAACTGAATCATTCTCAGAAACTGCTTTGTGATGTTTGTGTTCGAGCCACAGAGTTTAACATTGCTTTTCATAGAGCAGTTTTGAAATATTCTTTTCGCAGAATCTGCAAGTGGACATTTGGAGCGCTTTCAGGCCTGTGGTGGAAAAGGCCTGAAAGCCTTTTCCTTTATCTTCACAGAAAGACGAGAGAGAAGCATTGTCAGAAACTTCTTTGTGATGATTGCATTCAACTCACAGAGTTGAAGATTCCTTTTGAAACAGCAGTTTCGAAACACTCTTTCTGTGGGATCCGCAAGGGGATATTTGGACCTCTTGGAAGGTTTCGTTGGAAACGGGATAATCTTCACCTAAAAGCTAAACGGAAGCATTCTCAGAAACTTCTTTGGGATGTTTGCATTCACCTCACAGAGTTGAACTTTCCCTTTGATAGCGCAGCTTTGACACACTTTTTCTACAATGTGCAAGTGGCTATTTAGCGGGCTTGGAGGACTGTGTTGGAAAAGGAAATATCTTCTCCTAAAAACGACATAGAAGCATTCTCAGAAACTGCTCTGTGATGATTGCATTCAACTCCCAGAGTTGAACATTCCTTTTGATAGAGCAGTTTGCAAACACTCTTTTTGTAGAATCTGCAAGTGGAGATTTGGACCGCTTTGAGGCCTGTGGTAGTGAAGGAAAGAACTTCATATAAAAACCAGACGGTAGCACTCTCAGAAAATTCTTTGTGACGATGGAGTTTAACTCAGGGAGCTGAACATTCGTTATGATGGAGCAGTTTCCAAACACACGTTTTGTAGAATCTGCGAGGGGATATTTGGACCTCTCTGAGGATTTCGTTGGAAAAGGGATCAACTTCCCATAACTGAACGGAAGCAAACTCAGAACATTCTTTGTGATGTTTGTATTCAACTCACAGAGTTGAACCTTCCTTTGATAGTTCAGGTTTGCAACACCCTTGTAGTAGAATCTGCAAGTGTATATTTTGACCACTTTGTAGCCTTCGTTTGAAACGTCTATATCTTCACATCAAACCTAGACAGAAGCATTCTCAGAAAGTTTTCTGCGATGACTGCATTCAACTCACAGAGTTGAACAATCCTTCTGATGGAGCAGTTTTGAAACCCTCTTTCTTTGGAATCTGCAAGGGGATATGTGGACCTCTTTGAAGATTTCACTGGAAACGGGATCATCTTCACATAAAAACTAAACAGAAGCATTCTCGGAAACTACTTTGTGATGTTTGTATTCAACTCCCAGAGTTGAACTTTCCTTTTGAAAGAGCAGCTATGAAACTCTCTTTTTCGAGAATCTGCAAGTGGACGTTTGGAGGGCTTTGAGGCCTGTGGTGGAAAAGGAAATATCTTCACATAAAAACTAGATAGAAGCATTCTCAGAAACGACTTTGTGAGGATGGCATTCAACTCATGGAGTTGAACAATCCTATTGATAGAGCAGATTGGAATCACTCTTTTTGTAGAATCTGCAAATGGAGATTTGGACTGCTTTGAGGCCTACGGTCGTATAGGAAGGAACTTCATATAAAAGGCAAACGGAAGCATTCTCAGAATATTCTTTGTGATGATGGAGTTTCACTCACAGAGCTGAACATGCCTTTTGATGGAGCAGTTTCCAAATACACTTTTGGTAGAATCTGCAGGTGGATATTTGGAGCTCTCTGAGGATTTCGTTGGAAACGGGAATAATTTCCCATAACTAAACACAAACACTCTGAGAAAGTTCTTCATGATGAATGCATTTAACTCGCAGAGATGAACCTGCCTTTGAGAGTTCAGGTTCGAAACACTCTTTCTGTAGAATCTGCAAGTGGATATTTGGACCACTGGCTGGCCTTCGTTCGAAACGGGTATATGTTCACGTAAAAACTAAAGAGAAGCATTCTCAGAAACTTCTGAGTGATGATTGCATTCAAGTCACACAGTTGAACCCTCCTTTTGATGGAGCAGTTTTGAAACTGTCTTTTTGTAGAATCTGTAAGTGGATACGTGGACCTCTTTGAAGATTTCTTTGGAAACGGGAATATTTCCACAGAAAAACTAAACTGAAGCATTCTCAGAAACTGCTTTGTGATGTTTGTGTTCGAGCCACAGAGTTTAACATTGCTTTTCATAGAGCAGTTTTGAAATATTCTTTTCGCAGAATCTGCAAGTGGACATTTGGAGCGCTTTCAGGCCTGTGGTTGGAAAAGGCCTGAAAGCCTTTTCCTTTATCTTCACAGAAAGACGAGAGAGAAGCATTGTCAGAAACTTCTTTGTGATGATTGCATTCAACTCACAGAGTTGAAGATTCCTTTTGAAACAGCAGTTTCGAAACACTCTTTCTGTGGGATCCGCAAGGGGATATTTGGACCTCTTTGAAGGTTTCGTTGGAAACGGGATAATCTTCACCTAAAAGCTAAACGGAAGCATTCTCAGAAACTTCTTTGGGATGTTTGCATTCACCTCACAGAGTTGAACTTTCCCTTTGATAGCGCAGCTTTGACACACTTTTTCTACAATGTGCAAGTGGCTATTTAGCGGGCTTGGAGGACTGTGTTGGAAAAGGAAATATCTTCTAAAAACGACATAGAAGCATTCTCAGAAACTGCTCTGTGATGATTGCATTCAACTCCCAGAGTTGAACATTCCTTTTGATAGAGCAGTTTGCAAACACTCTTTTTGTAGAATCTGCAAGTGGAGATTTGGACCGCTTTGAGGCCTGTGGTAGTGAAGGAAAGAACTTCATATAAAAACCAGACGGTAGCACTCTCAGAAAATTCTTTGTGACGATGGAGTTTAACTCAGGGAGCTGAACATTCGTTATGATGGAGCAGTTTCCAAACACACGTTTTGTAGAATCTGTGAGGGGATATTTGGACCTCTCTGAGGATTTCGTTGGAAACGGGATCAACTTCCCATAACTGAACGGAAGCAAACTCAGAACATTCTTTGTGATGTTTGTATTCAACTCACAGAGTTGAACCTTCCTTTGATAGTTCAGGTTTGCAACACCCTTGTAGTAGAATCTGCAAGTGTATATTTTGACCACTTTGTAGCCTTCGTTTGAAACGTCTATATCTTCACATCAAACCTAGAAAGAAGCATTCTCAGAAAGTTTTCTGCGATGACTGCATTCAACTCACAGAGTTGAACAATCCTTTTGATGGAGCAGTTTTGAAACCCTCTTTCTTTGGAATCTGCAAGGGGATATGTGGACCTCTTTGAAGATTTCACTGGAAACGGGATCATCTTCACATAAGAACTAAACAGAAGCATTCTCGGAAACGACTTTGTGATGTTTGTATTCAACTCCCAGAGTTGAACATTCCTTTTGAAAGAGCAGCTATGAAACACTCTTTTTCGAGAATCTGCAAGTGGACGTTTGGAGGGCTTTGAGGCCTGTGGTGGAAAAGGAAATATCTTCACATAAAAACTAGATAGAAGCATTCTCAGAAACGACTTTGTGAGGATGGCATTCAACTCATGGAGTTGAACAATCCTATTGATAGAGCAGATTGGAATCACTCTTTTTGTAGAATCTGCAAATGGAGATTTGGACTGCTTTGAGGCCTACGGTAGTATAGGAAGGAACTTCATATAAAAGGCAAACGGAAGCATTCTCAGAATATTCTTTGTGATGATGGAGTTTCACTCACAGAGCTGAACATGCCTTTTCATGGAGCAGTTTCCAAATACACTTTTGGTAGAATCTGCAGGTGGATATTTGGAGCTCTCTGAGGATTTCGTTGGAAACGGGAATAATTTCCCATAACTAAACACAAACACGCTGAGAAAGTTCTTCATGATGAATGCATTGAACTCGCAGAGATGAACCTGCCTTTGAGAGTTCAGGTTCGAAACACTCTTTCTGTAGAATCTGCAAGTGGATATTTGGACCACTGGGTGGCCTTCGTTCGAAACGGGTATATGTTCACGTAAAAACTAAACAGAAGCGTTCTCAGAAACTTCTGAGTGATGATTGCATTCAAGTCACACAGTTGAACCCTCCTTTTGATGGAGCAGTTTTGAAACTGTCTTTTTGTAGAATCTGTAAGTGGATACGTGGACCTCTTTGAAGATTTCTTTCGAAACGGGAATATTTCCACAGAAAAACTAAACTGAAGCATTCTCAGAAACCGCTTTGTGATGTTTGTGTTCGAGCCACAGAGTTTAACATTGCTTTTCATAGAGCAGTTTTGAAATATTCTTTTGGCAGAATCTGCAAGTGGACATTTGGAGCGCTTTCAGGCCTGTGGTGGAAAAGGCCTGAAAGCCTTTTCCTTTATCTTCACAGAAAGACGAGAGAGAAGCATTGTCAGAAACTTCTTTGTGATGATTGCATTCAACTCACAGAGTTGAAGATTCCTTTTGAAACAGCAGTTTCGAAACACTCTTTCTGTGGGATCCGCAAGGGGATATTTGGACCTCTTTGAAGGTTTCGTTGGAAACGGGATAATCTTCACCTAAAAGCTAAACGGAAGCATTCTCAGAAACTTCTTTGGGATGTTTGCATTCACCTCACAGAGTTGAACTTTCCCTTTGATAGCGCAGCTTTGACACACTTTTTCTACAATGTGCAAGTGGATATTTAGCGGGCTTGGAGGACTGTGTTGGAAAAGGAAATATCTTCTAAAAACGACATAGAAGCATTCTCAGAAACTGCTCTGTGATGATTGCATTCAACTCCCAGAGTTGAACATTCCTTTTGATAGAGCAGTTTGCAAACACTCTTTTTGTAGAATCTGCAAGTGGAGATTTGGACCGCTTTGAGGCCTGTGGTAGTGAAGGAAAGAACTTCATATAAAAACCAGACGGTAGCACTCTCAGAAAATTCTTTGTGACGATGGAGTTTAACTCAGGGAGCTGAACATTCGTTATGATGGAGCAGTTTCCAAACACACGTTTTGTAGAATCTGCAAGGGGATATTTGGACCTCTCTGAGGATTTCGTTGGAAACGGGATCAACTTCCCATAACTGAACGGAAGCAAACTCAGAACATTCTTTGTGATGTTTGTATTCAACTCACAGAGTTCAACCTTCCTTTGATAGTTCAGGTTTGCAACACCCTTGTAGTAGAATCTGCAAGTGTATATTTTGACCACTTTGTAGCCTTCGTTTGAAACGTCTATATCTTCACATCAAACCTAGACAGAAGCATTCTCAGAAAGTTTTCTGCGATGACTGCATTCAACTCACAGAGTTGAACAATCCTTCTGATGGAGCAGTTTTGAAACCCTCTTTCTTTGGAATCTGCAAGGGGATATGTGGACCTCTTTGAAGATTTCACTGGAAACGGGATCATCTTCACATAAAAACTAAACAGAAGCATTCTCGGAAACTACTTTGTGATGTTTGTATTCAACTCCCAGAGTTGAACTTTCCTTTTGAAAGAGCAGCTATGAAACACTCTTTTTCGAGAATCTGCAAGTGGACGTTTGGAGGGCTTTGAGGCCTGTGGTGGAAAAGGAAATATCTTCACACAAAAACCAGATAGAAGCATTCTCAGAAACTACTTTGTGAGGATGGCATTCAACTCATGGAGTTGAACAATCCTATTGATAGAGCAGATTGGAATCACTCTTTTTGTAGAATCTGCAAATGGAGATTTGGACTGCTTTGAGGCCTACGGTAGTACAGGAAGGAACTTCATATAAAAGGCAAACGGAAGCATTCTCAGAATATTCTTTGTGATGATGGAGTTTCACTGACAGAGCTGAACATGCCTTTTGATGGAGCAGTTTCCAAATACACTTTTGGTAGAATCTGCAGGTGGATATTTGGAGCTCTCTGAGGCTTTCGTTGGAAACGGGAATAATTTCCCATAACTAAACACAAACACTCTGAGAAAGTTCTTCATGATGAATGCATTTAACTCGCAGAGATGAACCTGCCTTTGAGAGTTCATGTTCGAAACACTCTTTCTGTAGAATCTGCAAGTGGATATTTGGACCACTGGCTGGCCTTCGTTCGAAACGGGTATATGTTCACGTAAAAACTAAAGAGAAGCATTCTCAGAAACTTCTGAGTGATGATTGCATTCAAGTCACACAGTTGAACCCTCCTTTTGATGGAGCAGTTTTGAAACTGTCTTTTTGTAGAATCTGTAAGTGGATACGTGGACCTCTTTGAAGATTTCTTTGGAAACGGGAATATTTCCACAGAAAAACTAAACTGAAGCATTCTCAGAAACTGCTTTGTGATGTTTGTGTTCGAGCCACAGAGTTTAACATTGCTTTTCATAGAGCAGTTTTGAAATATTCTTTTGGCAGAATCTGCAAGTGGACATTTGGAGCGCTTTCAGGCCTGTGGTGGAAAAGGCCTGAAAGCCTTTTCCTTTATCTTCACAGAAAGACGAGAGAGAAGCATTGTCAGAAACTTCTTTGTGATGATTGCATTCAACTCACAGAGTTGAAGATTCCTTTTGAAACAGCAGTTTCGAAACACTCTTTCTGTGGGATCCGCAAGGGGATATTTGGACCTCTTTGAAGGTTTCGTTGGAAACGGGATAATCTTCACCTAAAAGCTAAACGGAAGCATTCTCAGAAACTTCTTTGGGATGTTTGCATTCACCTCACAGAGTTGAACTTTCCCTTTGATAGCGCAGCTTCGACACACTTTTTCTACAATGTGCAAGTGGATATTTAGCGGGCTTGGAGGACTGTGTTGGAAAAGGAAATATCTTCTCCTAAAAACGACATAGAAGCATTCTCAGAAACTGCTCTGTGATGATTGCATTCAACTCCCAGAGTTGAACATTCCTTTTGATAGAGCAGTTTGCAAACACTCTTTTTGTAGAATCTGCAAGTGGAGATTTGGACCGCTTTGAGGCCTGTGGTAGTAAAGGAAACAACTTCATATAAAAACCAGACGGTAGCACTCTCAGAAAATTCTTTGTGACGATGGAGTTTAACTCAGAGAGCTGAACATCCGTTATGATGGAGCAGTTTCCAAACACACGTTTTGTAGAATCTGCAAGGGGATATTTGGACCTCTCTGAGGATTTCGTTGGAAACGGGATCAACTTCCCATAACTGAACGGAAGCAAACTCAGAACATTCTTTGTGATGTTTGTATTCAACTCACAGAGTTGAACCTTCCTTTGATAGTTGAGGTTTGCATCACCCTTGTAGTAGAATCTGCAAGTGTATATTTTGACCACTTTGTAGCCTTCGTTTGAAACGTCTATATCTTCACATCAAACCTAGACAGAAGCATTCTCAGAAAGTTTTCTGCGATGACTGCATTCAACTCACAGAGTTGCACAATCCTTTTGATGGAGCAGTTTTGAAACCCTCTTTCTTTGGAATCTGCAAGGGGATATATGGACCTCTTTGAAGATTTCACTGGAAACGGGATCATCTTCACATAACAACTAAACAGAAGCATTCTCGGAAACTACTTTGTGATGTTTGTATTCAACTCCCAGAGTTGAACTTTCCTTTTGAAAGAGCAGCTATGAAACACTCTTTTTCGAGAATCTGCAAGTGGACGTTTGGAGGGCTTTGAGGCCTGTGGTGGAAAAGGAAATATCTTCACATAAAAACTAGATAGAAGCATTCTCAGAAACGACTTTGTGAGGATGGCATTCAACTCATGGAGTTGAACAATCCTATTGATAGAGCAGATTGGAATCACTCTTTTTGTAGAATCTGCAAATGGAGATTTGGACTGCTTTGAGGCCTACGGTCGTATAGGAAGGAACTTCATATAAAAGGCAAACGGAAGCATTCTCAGAATATTCTTTGTGATGATGGAGTTTCACTCACAGAGCTGAACATGCCTTTTGATGGAGCAGTTTCCAAATACACTTTTGGTAGAATCTGCAGGTGGATATTTGGAGCTCTCTGAGGATTTCGTTGGAAACGGGAATAATTTCCCATAACTAAACACAAACACTCTGAGAAAGTTCTTCATGATGAATGCATTTAACTCGCAGAGATGAACCTGCCTTTGAGAGTTCAGGTTCGAAACACTCTTTCTGTAGAATCTGCAAGTGGATATTTGGACCACTGTGTGGCCTTCGTTCGAAACGGGTATATGTTCACGTAAAAACTAAAGAGAAGCATTCTCAGAAACTTGTGAGTGATGATTGCATTCAAGTCACACAGTAGAACCCTCCTTTTGATGGAGCAGTTTTGAAACTGTCTTTTTGTAGAATCTGTAAGTGGATACGTGGACCTCTTTGAAGATTTCTTTGGAAACGGGAATATTTCCACAGAAAAACTAAACTGAAGCATTCTCAGAAACCGCTTTGTGATGTTTGTGTTCGAGCCACAGAGTTTAACATTGCTTTTCATAGAGCAGTTTTGAAATATTCTTTTGGCAGAATCTGCAAGTGGACATTTGGAGCGCTTTCAGGCCTGTGGTGGAAAAGGCCTGAAAGCCTTTTCCTTTATCTTCACAGAAAGACGAGAGAGAAGCATTGTCAGAAACTTCTTTGTGATGATTGCATTCAACTCACAGAGTTGAAGATTCCTTTTGAAACAGCAGTTTCGAAACACTCTTTCTGTGGGATCCGCAAGGGGATATTTGGACCTCTTTGAAGGTTTCGTTGGAAACGGGATAATCTTCACCTAAAAGCTAAACGGAAGCATTCTCAGAAACATCTTTGGGATGTTTGCATTCACCTCACAGAGTTGAACTTTCCCTTTGATAGCGCAGCTTTGACACACTTTTTCTACAATGTGCAAGTGGCTATTTAGCGGGCTTGGAGGACTGTGTTGGAAAAGGAAATATCTTCTCCTAAAAACGACATAGAAGCATTCTCAGAAACTGCTCTGTGATGATTGCATTCAACTCCCAGAGTTGAACATTCCTTTTGATAGAGCAGTTTGCAAACACTCTTTTTGTAGAATCTGCAAGTGGAGATTTGGACCGCTTTGAGGTCTGTGGTAGTGAAGGAAAGAGCTTCATATAAAAACCAGACGGTAGCACTCTCAGAAAATTCTTTGTGACGATGGAGTTTAACTCAGGGAGCTGAACATTCGTTATGATGGAGCAGTTTCCAAACACACGTTTTGTAGAATCTGCAAGGGGATATTTGGACCTCTCTGAGGATTTCGTTGGAAACGGGATCAACTTCCCATAACTGAACGGAAGCAAACTCAGAACATTCTTTGTGATGTTTGTATTCAACTCACAGAGTTGAACCTTCCTTTGATAGTTCAGGTTTGCAACACCCTTGTAGTAGAATCTGCAAGTGTATATTTTGACCACTTTGTAGCCTTCGTTTGAAACGTCTATATCTTCACATCAAACCTAGACAGAAGCATTCTCAGAAAGTTTTCTGCGATGACTGCATTCCACTCACAGAGTTGAACAATCCTTCTGATGGAGCAGTTTTGAAACCCTCTTTCTTTGGAATCTGCAAGGGGATATGTGGACCTCTTTGAAGATTTCACTGGAAACGGGATCATCTTCACATAAAAACTAAACAGAAGCATTCTCGGAAACTACTTTGTGATGTTTGTATTCAACTCCCAGAGTTGAACTTTCCTTTTGAAAGAGCAGCTATGAAACACTCTTTTTCGAGAATCTGCAAGTGGACGTTTGGAGGGCTTTGAGGCCTGTGGTGGAAAAGGAAATATCTTCACATTAAAACTAGATAGAAGCATTCTCAGAAACGACTTTGTGAGGATGGCATTCAACTCATGGAGTTGAACAATCCTATTGATAGAGCAGATTGGAATCACTCTTTTTGTAGAATCTGCAAATGGAGATTTGGACTGCTTTGAGGCCTACGGTAGTATAGGAAGGAACTTCATATAAAAGGCAAACGGAAGCATTCTCAGAATATTCTTTGTGATGATGGAGTTTCACTCACAGAGCTGAACATGCCTTTTGATGGAGCAGTTTCCAAATACACTTTTGGTAGAATCTGCAGGTGGATATTTGGAGCTCTCTGAGGATTTCGTTGGAAACGGGAATAATTTCCCATAACTAAACACAAACACGCTGAGAAAGTTCTTCATGATGAATGCATTGAACTCGCAGAGATGAACCTGCCTTTGAGAGTTCAGGTTCGAAACACTCTTTCTGTAGAATCTGCAAGTGGATATTTGGACCACTGGGTGGCCTTCGTTCGAAACGGCTATATGTTCACGTAAAAACTAAACAGAAGCGTTCTCAGAAACTTCTGAGTGATGATTGCATTCAAGTCACACGGTTGAACCCTCCTTTTGATTGAGCAGTTTTGAAACTGTCTTTTTGTAGAATCTGTAAGTGGATACGTGGACCTCTTTGAAGATTTCTTTCGAAACGGGAATATTTCCACAGAAAAACTAAACTGAAGCATTCTCAGAAACCGCTTTGTGATGTTTGTGTTCGAGCCACAGAGTTTAACATTGCTTTTCATAGAGCAGTTTTGAAATATTCTTTTGGCAGAATCTGCAAGTGGACATTTGGAGCGCTTTCAGGCCTGTGGTGGAAAAGGCCTGAAAGCCTTTTCCTTTATCTTCACAGAAAGACGAGAGAGAAGCATTGTCAGAAACTTCTTTGTGATGATTGCATTCAACTCACAGAGTTGAAGATTCCTTTTGAAACAGCAGTTTCGAAACACTCTTTCTGTGGGATCCGCAAGGGGATATTTGGACCTCTTTGAAGGTTTCGTTGGAAACGGGATAATCTTCACCTAAAAGCTAAACGGAAGCATTCTCAGAAACTTCTTTGGGATGTTTGCATTCACCTCACAGAGTTGAACTTTCCCTTTGATAGCGCAGCTTTGACACACTTTTTCTACAATGTGCAAGTGGCTATTTAGCGGGCTTGGAGGACTGTGTTGGAAAAGGAAATATCTTCTCCTAAAAACGACATAGAAGCATTCTCAGAAACTGCTCTGTGATGATTGCATTCAACTCCCAGAGTTGAACATTCCTTTTGATAGAGCAGTTTGCAAACACTCTTTTTGTAGAATCTGCAAGTGGAGATTTGGACCGCTTTGAGGCCAGTGGTAGTGAAGGAAAGAACTTCATATAAAAACCAGACGGTAGCACTCTCAGAAAATTCTTTGTGACGATGGAGTTTAACTCAGGGAGCTGAACATTCGTTATGATGGAGCAGTTTCCAAACACACGTTTTGTAGAATCTGCAAGGGGATATTTGGACCTCTCTGAGGATTTCGTTGGAAACGGGATCAACTTCCCATAACTGAACGGAAGCAAACTCAGAACATTCTTTGTGATGTTTGTATTCAACTCACAGAGTTGAACCTTCCTTTGATAGTTCAGGTTTGCAACACCCTTGTAGTAGAATCTGCAAGTGTATATTTTGACCACTTTGTAGCCTTCATTTGAAACGTCTATATCTTCACATCAATCCTAGACAGAAGCATTCTCAGAAAGTTTTCTGCGATGACTGCATTCAACTCACAGAGTTGAACAATCCTTCTGATGGAGCAGTTTTTAAACCCTCTTTCTTTGGAATCTGCAAGGGGATATGTGGACCTCTTTGAAGATTTCACTGGAAACGGGATCATCTTCACATAAAAACTAAACAGAAGCATTCTCGGAAACTACTTTGTGATGTTTGTATTCAACTCCCAGAGTTGAACTTTCCTTTTGAAAGAGCAGCTATAAAACACTCTTTTTCGAGAATCTGCAAGTGGACGTTTGGAGGGCTTGGAGGCCTGTGGTGGAAAAGGAAATACCTTCACATAAAAACTAGATAGAAGCATTCTCAGAAACTACTTTGTGAGGATGGCATTCAACTCATGGAGTTGAACAATCCTATTGATAGAGCAGATTGGAATCACTCTTTTTGTAGAATCTGCAAATGGAGATTTGGACTGCTTTGAGGCCTACGGTCGTATAGGAAGGAACTTCATATAAAAGGCAAACGGAAGCATTCTCAGAATATTCTTTGTGATGATGGAGTTTCACTCACAGAGCTGAACATGCCTGTTGATGGAGCAGTTTCCAAATACACTTTTGGTAGAATCTGCAGGTGGATATTTGGAGCTCTCTGAGGATTTCGTTGGAAACGGGAATAATTTCCCATAACTAAACACAAACACTCTGAGAAAGTTCTTCATGATGAATGCATTTAACTCGCAGAGATGAACCTGCCTTTGAGAGTTCAGGTTCGAAACACTCTTTCTGTATAATCTGCAAGTGGATATTTGGACCACTGGGTGGCCTTCGTTCGAAACGGGTATATGTTCACGTAAAAACTAAAGAGAAGCATTCTCAGAAACTTCTGAGTGATGATTGCATTCAAGTCACACAGTTGAACCCTCCTTTTGATGGAGCAGTTTTGAAACTGTCTTTTTGTAGAATCTGTAAGTGGATACGTGGACCTCTTTGAAGATTTCTTTGGAAACGGGAATATTTCCACAGAAAAACTAAACTGAAACATTCTCAGAAACCGCTTTGTGATGTTTGTGTTCCAGCCACAGAGTTTAACATTGCTTTTCATAGAGCAGTTTTGAAATATTCTTTTCGCAGAATCTGCAAGTGGACATTTGGAGCGCTTTCAGGCCTGTGGTGGAAAAGGCCTGAAAGCCTTTTCCTTTATCTTCACAGAAAGACGAGAGAGAAGCATTGTCAGAAACTTCTTTGTGATGATTGCATTCAACTCACAGAGTTGAAGATTCCTTTTGAAACAGCAGTTTCGAAACACTCTTTCTGTGGGATCCGCAAGGGGATATTTGGACCTCTTTGAAGGTTTCGTTGGAAACGGGATAATCTTCACCTAAAAGCTAAACGGAAGCATTCTCAGAAACTTCTTTGGGATGTTTGCATTCACCTCACAGAGTTGAACTTTCCCTTTGATAGCGCAGCTTTGACACACTTTTTCTACAATGTGCAAGTGGCTATTTAGCGGGCTTGGAGGACTGTGTTGGAAAAGGAAATATCTTCTCCTAAAAACGACATAGAAGCATTCTCAGAAACTGCTCTGTGATGATTGCATTCAACTCCCAGAGTTGAACATTCCTTTTGATAGAGCAGTTTGCAAACACTCTTTTTGTAGAATCTGCAAGTGGAGATTTGGACCGCTTTGAGGCCTGTGGTAGTGAAGGAAAGAGCTTCATATAAAAACCAGACGGTAGCACTCTCAGAAAATTCTTTGTGACGATGGAGTTTAACTCAGGGAGCTGAACATTCGTTATGATGGAGCAGTTTCCAAACACACGTTTTGTAGAATCTGCAAGGGGATATTTGGACCTCTCTGAGGATTTCGTTGGAAACGGGATCAACTTCCCATAACTGAACGGAAGCAAACTCAGAACATTTTTTGTGATGTTTGTATTCAACTCACAGAGTTGAACCTTCCTTTGATAGTTCAGGTTTGCAACACCCTTGTAGTAGAATCTGCAAGTGTATATTTTGACCACTTTGTAGCCTTCGTTTGAAACGTCTATATCTTCACATCAAACCTAGACAGAAGCATTCTCAGAAAGTTTTCTGCGATGACTGCATTCAACTCACAGAGTTGAACAATCCTTCTGATGGAGCAGTTTTGAAACCCTCTTTCTTTGGAATCTGCAAGGGGATATGTGGACCTCTTTGAAGATTTCACTGGAAACGGGATCATCTTCACATAAAAACTAAACAGAAGCATTCTCGGAAACTACTTTGTGATGTTTGTATTCAACTCCCAGAGTTGAACTTTCCTTTTGAAAGAGCAGCTATGAAACACTCTTTTTCGAGAATCTGCAAGTGGACGTTTGGAGGGCTTTGAGGCCTGTGGTGGAAAAGGAAATATCTTCACATAAAAACTAGATAGAAGCATTCTCACAAACGACATTGTGAGGATGGAATTCAACTCATGGAGTTGAACAATCCTATTGATAGAGCAGATTGGAATCACTCTTTTTGTAGAATCTGCAAATGGAGATTTGGACTGCTTTGAGGCCTACGGTAGTATAGGAAGGAACTTCATATAAAAGGCAAACGGAAGCATTCTCAGAATATTCTTTGTGATGATGGAGTTTCACTCACAGAGCTGAACATGCCTTTTGATGGAGCAGTTTCCAAATACACTTTTGGTAGAATCTGCAGGTGGATATTTGGAGCTCTCTGAGGATTTCGTTGGAAACAGGAATAATTTCCCATAACTAAACACAAACACTCTGAGAAAGTTCTTCATGATGAATGCATTTAACTCGCAGAGATGAACCTGCCTTTGAGAGTTCAGGTTCGAAACACTCTTTCTGTAGAATCTGCAAGTGGATATTTGGACCACTGGGTGGCCTTCGTTCGAAACGGGTATATGTTCACATAAAAACTAAAAAGAAGCATTCTCAGAAACTTCTGAGTGATGATTGCATTCAAGTCACATAGTTGAACCCTCCTTTTGATGGAGTAGTTTTGAAACTGTCTTTTTGTAGAATCTGTAAGTGGATACGTGGACCTCTTTGAAGATTTCTTTGGAAACGGGAATATTTCCACAGAAAAACTAAACTGAAGCATTCTCAGAAACTGCTTTGTGATGTTTGTGTTCGAGCCACAGAGTTTAACATTGCTTTTCATAGAGCAGTTTTGAAATATTCTTTTCGCAGAATCTGCAAGTGGACATTTGGAGCGCTTTCAGGCCTGTGGTGGCAAAGGCCTGAAAGCCTTTTCCTTTATCTTCACAGAAAGACGAGAGAGAAGCATTGTCAGAAACTTCTTTGTGATGATTGCATTCAACTCACAGAGTTGAAGATTCCTTTTGAAACAGCAGTTTCGAAACACTCTTTCTGTGGGATCCGCAAGGGGATATTTGGACCTCTTTGAAGGTTTCGTTGGAAACGGGATAATCTTCACCTAAAAGCTAAACGGAAGCGTTCTCAGAAACTTCTTTGGGATGTTTGCATTCACCTCACAGAGTTGAACTTTCCCTTTGATAGCGCAGCTTTGACACACTTTTTCTACAATGTGCAAGTGGCTATTTAGCGGGCTTGGAGGACTGTGTTGGAAAAGGAAATATCTTCTCCTAAAAACGACATAGAAGCATTCTCAGAAACTGCTCTGTGATGATTGCATTCAACTCCCAGAGTTGAACATTCCTTTTGATAGAGCAGTTTGCAAACACTCTTTTTGTAGAATCTGCAAGTGGAGATTTGGACCGCTTTGAGGCCTGTGGTAGTGAAGGAAAGAACTTCATATAAAAACCAGACGGTAGCACTCTCAGAAAATTCTTTGTGACGATGGAGTTTAACTCAGGGAGCTGAACATTCGTTATGATGGAGCAGTTTCCAAACACACGTTTTGTAGAATCTGCGAGGGGATATTTGGACCTCTCTGAGGATTTCGTTGGAAACGGGATCAACTTCCCATAACTGAACGGAAGCAAACTCAGAACATTCTTTGTGATGTTTGTATTCAACTCACAGAGTTGAACCTTCCTTTGATAGTTCAGGTTTGCAACACCCTTGTAGTAGAATCTGCAAGTGTATATTTTGACCACTTTGTAGCCTTCGTTTGAAACGTCTATATCTTCACATCAAACCTAGAAAGAAGCATTCTCAGAAAGTTTTCTGCGATGACTGCATTCAACTCACAGAGTTGAACAATCCTTCTGATGGAGCAGTTTTGAAACCCTCTTTCTTTGGAATCTGCAAGGGGATATGTGGACCTCTTTGATGATTTCACTGGAAACGGGGTCATCTTCACATAAAAACTAAACAGAAGCATTCTCGGAAACTACTTTGTGATGTTTGTATTCAACTCCCAGAGTTGAACTTTCCTTTTGAAAGAGCAGCTATGAAACACTCTTTTTCGAGAATCTGCAAGTGGACGTTTGGAGGGCTTTGAGGCCTGTGGTGGAAAAGGAAATATCTTCACATAAAAACTAGATAGAAGCATTCTCAGAAACGACTTTGTGAGGATGGCATTCAACTCATGGAGTTGAACAATCCTATTGATAGAGCAGATTGGAATCACTCTTTTTGTAGAATCTGCAAATGGAGATTTGGACTGCTTTGAGGCCTACGGTCGTATAGGAAGGAACTTCATATAAAAGGCAAACGGAAGCATTCTCAGAATATTCTTTGTGATGATGGAGTTTCACTCACAGAGCTGAACATGCCTTTTGATGGAGCAGTTTCCAAATACACTTTTGGTAGAATCTGCAGGTGGATATTTGGAGCTCTCTGAGGATTTCGTTGGAAACGGGAATAATTTCCCATAACTAAACACAAACACTCTGAGAAAGTTCTTCATGATGAATGCATTTAACTCGCAGAGATGAACCTGCCTTTGAGAGTTAATGTTCGAAACACTCTTTCTGTAGAATCTGCAAGTGGATATTTGGACCACTGGCTGGCCTTCGTTCGAAACGGGTATATGTTCACGTAAAAACTAAAGAGAAGCATTCTCAGAAACTTCTGAGTGATGATTGCATTCAAGTCACACAGTTGAACCCTCCTTTTGATGGAGCAGTTTTGAAACTGTCTTTTTGTAGAATCTGTAAGTGGATACGTGGACCTCTTTGAAGATTTCTTTGGAAACGGGAATATTTCCACAGAAAAACTAAACTGAAGCATTCTCAGAAACCGCTTTGTGATGTTTGTGTTCGAGCCGCAGAGGTTAACATTGCTTTTCATAGAGCAGTTTTGAAATATTCTTTTGGCAGAATCTGCAAGTGGACATTTGGAGCGCTTTCAGGCCTGTGGTGGCAAAGGCCTGAAAGCCTTTTCCTTTATCTTCACAGAAAGACGAGAGAGAAGCATTGTCAGAAACTTCTTTGTGATGATTGCATTCAACTCACAGAGTTGAAGATTCCTTTTGAAACAGCAGTTTCGAAACACTCTTTCTGTGGGATCCGCAAGGGGATATTTGGACCTCTTTGAAGGTTTCGTTGGAAACGGGATAATCTTCACCTAAAAGCTAAACGGAAGCATTCTCAGAAACTTCTTTGGGATGTTTGCATTCACCTCACAGAGTTGAACTTTCCCTTTGATAGCGCAGCTTTGACACACTTTTTCTACAATGTGCAAGTGGCTATTTAGCGGGCTTGGAGGATTGTGTTGGAAAAGGAAATATCTTCTCCTAAAAACGACATAGAAGCATTCTCAGAAACTGCTCTGTGATGATTGCATTCAACTCCCAGAGTTGAACATTCCTTTTGATAGAGCAGTTTGCAAACACTCTTTTTGTAGAATCTGCAAGTGGAGATTTGGACCGCTTTGAGGCCTGTGGTAGTGAAGGAAAGAACTTCATATAAAAACCAGACGGTAGCACTCTCAGAAAATTCTTTGTGACGATGGAGTTTAACTCAGGGAGCTGAACATTCGTTATGATGGAGCAGTTTCCAAACACACGTTTTGTAGAATCTGCAAGGGGATATTTGGACCTCTCTGAGGATTTCGTTGGAAACGGGATCAACTTCCCATAACTGAACGGAAGCAAACTCAGAACATTCTTTGTGATGTTTGTATTCAACTCACAGAGTTGAACCTTCCTTTGATAGTTCAGGTTTGCAACACCCTTGTAGTAGAATCTGCAAGTGTATATTTTGACCACTTTGTAGCCTTCGTTTGAAACGTCTATATCTTCACATCAAACCTAGACAGAAGCATTCTCAGAAAGTTTTCTGCGATGACTGCATTCAACTCACAGAGTTGAACAATCCTTCTGATGGAGCAGTTTTGAAACCCTCTTTCTTTGGAATCTGCAAGGGGATATGTGGACCTCTTTGAAGATTTCACTGGAAACGGGATCGATCATCTTCACATAAAAACTAAACAGAAGCATTCTCGGAAACTACTTTGTGATGTTTGTATTCAACTCCCAGAGTTGAACTTTCCTTTTGAAAGAGCAGCTATGAAACACTCTTTTTCGAGAATCTGCAAGTGGACGTTTGGAGGGCTTTGAGGCCTGTGGTGGAAAAGGAAATATCTTCACACAAAAACCAGATAGAAGCATTCTCAGAAACTACTTTGTGAGGATGGCATTCAACTCATGGAGTTGAACAATCCTATTGATAGAGCAGATTGGAATCACTCTTTTTATAGAATCTGCAAATGGAGATTTGGACTGCTTTGAGGACTACGGTAGTACAGGAAGGAACTTCATATAAAAGGCAAACGGAAGCATTCTCAGAATATTCTTTGTGATGATGGAGTTTCACTCACAGAGCTGAACATGCCTTTTGATGGAGCAGTTTCCAAATACACTTTTGGTAGAATCTGCAGGTGGATATTTGGAGCTCTCTGAGGATTTCGTTGGAAACGGGAATAATTTCCCATAACTAAACACAAACACTCTGAGAAAGTTCTTCATGATGAATGCATTTAACTCGCAGAGATGAACCTGCCTTTGAGAGTTCAGGTTCGAAACACTCTTTCTGTATAATCTGCAAGTGGATATTTGGACCACTGGGTGGCCTTCGTTCGAAACGGGTATATGTTCACGTAAAAACTAAAGAGAAGCATTCTCAGAAACTTCTGAGTGATGATTGCATTCAAGTCACACAGTTGAACCCTCCTTTTGATGGAGCAGTTTTGAAACTGTCTTTTTGTAGAATCTGTAAGTGGATACGTGGACCTCTTTGAAGATTTCTTTGGAAACGGGAATATTTCCACAGAAAAACTAAACTGAAACATTCTCAGAAACCGCTTTGTGATGTTTGTGTTCCAGCCACAGAGTTTAACATTGCTTTTCATAGAGCAGTTTTGAAATATTCTTTTCGCAGAATCTGCAAGTGGACATTTGGAGCGCTTTCAGGCCTGTGGTGGAAAAGGCCTGAAAGCCTTTTCCTTTATCTTCACAGAAAGACGAGAGAGAAGCATTGTCAGAAACTTCTTTGTGATGATTGCATTCAACTCACAGAGTTGAAGATTCCTTTTGAAACAGCAGTTTTGAAACACTCTTTCTGTGGGATCCGCAAGGGGATATTTGGACCTCTTTGAAGGTTTCGTTGGAAACGGGATAATCTTCACCTAAAAGCTAAACGGAAGCATTCTCAGAAACTTCTTTGGGATGTTTGCATTCACCTCACAGAGTTGAACTTTCCCTTTGATAGCGCAGCTTTGACACACTTTTTCTACAATGTGCAAGTGGCTATTTAGCGGGCTTGGAGGACTGTGTTGGAAAAGGAAATATCTTCTCCTAAAAACGACATAGAAGCATTCTCAGAAACTGCTCTGTGATGATTGCATTCAACTCCCAGAGTTGAACATTCCTTTTGATAGAGCAGTTTGCAAACACTCTTTTTGTAGAATCTGCAAGTGGAGATTTGGACCGCTTTGAGGCCTGTGGTAGTGAAGGAAAGAACTTCATATAAAAACCAGACGGTAGCACTCTCAGAAAATTCTTTGTGACGATGGAGTTTAACTCAGGGAGCTGAACATTCGTTATGATGGAGCAGTTTCCAAACACACGTTTTGTAGAATCTGCAAGGGGATATTTGGACCTCTCTGAGGATTTCGTTGGAAACGGGATCAACTTCCCATAACTGAACGGAAGCAAACTCAGAACATTCTTTGTGATGTTTGTATTCAACTCACAGAGTTGAACCTTCCTTTGATAGTTCAGGTTTGCAACACCCTTGTAGTAGAATCTGCAAGTGTATATTTTGACCACTTTGTAGCCTTCGTTTGAAACGTCTATATCTTCACATCAAACCTAGACAGAAGCATTCTCAGAAAGTTTTCTGCGATGACTGCATTCAACTCACAGAGTTGAACAATCCTTCTGATGGAGCAGTTTTGAAACCCTCTTTCTTTGGAATCTGCAAGGGGATATGTGGACCTCTTTGAAGATTTCACTGGAAACGGGATCATCTTCACATAAAAACTAAACAGAAGCATTCTCGGAAACTACTTTGTGATGTTTGTATTCAACTCCCAGAGTTGAACTTTCCTTTTGAAAGAGCAGCTATGAAACACTCTTTTTCGAGAATCTGCAAGTGGACGTTTGGAGGGCTTTGAGGCCTGTGGTGGAAAAGGAAATATCTTCACATAAAAACTAGATAGAAGCATTCTCAGAAACGACTTTGTGAGGATGGCATTCAACTCATGGAGTTGAACAATCCTATTGATAGAGCAGATTGGAATCACTCTTTTTGTAGAATCTGCAAATGGAGATTTGGACTGCTTTGAGGCCTACGGTCGTATAGGAAGGAACTTCAGATAAAAGGCAAACGGAAGCATTCTCAGAATATTCTTTGTGATGATGGAGTTTCACTCACAGAGCTGAACATGCCTTTTGATGGAGCAGTTTCCAAATACACTTTTGGTAGAATCTGCAGGTGGATATTTGGAGCTCTCTGAGGATTTCGTTGGAAACGGGAATAATTTCCCATAACTAAACACAAACACTCTGAGAAAGTTCTTCATGATGAATGCATTTAACTCGCAGAGATGAACCTGCCTTTGAGAGTTCAGGTTCGAAACACTCTTTCTGTAGAATCTGCAAGTGGATATTTGGACCACTGGGTGGCCTTCGTTCGAAACGGGTATATGTTCACGTAAAAACTAAAGAGAAGCATTCTCAGAAACTTCTGAGTGATGATTGCATTCAAGTCACACAGTTGAACCCTCCTTTTGATGGAGCAGTTTTGAAACTGTCTTTTTGTAGAATCTGTAAGTGGATACGTGGACCTCTTTGAAGATTTCTTTGGAAACGGGAATATTTCCACAGAAAAACTAAACTGAAACATTCTCAGAAACCGCTTTGTGATGTTTGTGTTCCAGCCACAGAGTTTAACATTGCTTTTCATAGAGCAGTTTTGAAATATTCTTTTGGCAGAATCTGCAAGTGGACATTTGGAGCGCTTTCAGGCCTGTGGTGGAAAAGGCCTGAAAGCCTTTTCCTTTATCTTCACAGAAAGACGAGAGAGAAGCATTGTCAGAAACTTCTTTGTGATGATTGCATTCAACTCACAGAGTTGAAGATTCCTTTTGAAACAGCAGTTTCGAAACACTCTTTCTGTGGGATCCGCAAGGGGATATTTGGACCTCTTTGAAGGTTTCGTTGGAAACGGGATAATCTTCACCTAAAAGCTAAACGGAAGCATTCTCAGAAACTTCTTTGGGATGTTTGCATTCACCTCACAGAGTTGAACTTTCCCTTTGATAGCGCAGCTTTGACACACTTTTTCTACAATGTGCAAGTGGCTATTTAGCGGGCTTGGAGGATTGTGTTGGAAAAGGAAATATCTTCTCCTAAAAACGACATAGAAGCATTCTCAGAAACTGCTCTGTGATGATTGCATTCAACTCCCAGAGTTGAACATTCCTTTTGATAGAGCAGTTTGCAAACACTCTTTTTGTAGAATCTGCAAGTGGAGACTTGGACCGCTTTGAGGCCTGTGGTAGTGAAGGAAAGAACTTCATATAAAAACCATACGGTAGCACTCTCAGAAAATTCTTTGTGAGGATGGAGTTTAACTCAGGGAGCTGAACATTCGTTATGATGGAGCAGTTTCCAAACACACCTTTTGTAGAATCTGCAAGGGGATATTTGGACCTCTCTGAGGATTTCGTTGGAAACGGGATCAACTTCCCATAACTGAACGGAAGCAAACTCAGAACATTCTTTGTGATGTTTGTATTCAACTCACAGAGTTGAACCTTCCTTTGATAGTTCAGGTTTGCAACACCCTTGTAGTAGAATCTGCAAGTGTATATTTTGACCACTTTGTAGCCTTCGTTTGAAACGTCTATATCTTCACATCAAACCTAGAAAGAAGCATTCTCAGAAAGTTTTCTGCGATGACTGCATTCAACTCACAGAGTTGAACAATCCTTCTGATGGAGCAGTTTTGAAACCCTCTTTCTTTGGAATCTGCAAGGGGATATGTGGACCTCTTTGAAGATTTCACTGGAAACGGGATCATCTTCACATAAAAACTAAACAGAAGCATTCTCGGAAACTACTTTGTGATGTTTGTATTCAACTCCCAGAGTTGAACTTTCCTTTTGAAAGAGCAGCTATGAAACACTCTTTTTCGAGGATCTGCAAGTGGACGTTTGGAGGGCTTTGAGGCCTGTGGTGGAAAAGGAAATATCTTCACATAAAAACTAGATAGAAGCATTCTCAGAAACGACTTTGTGAGGATGGCATTCAACTCATGGAGTTGAACAATCCCATTGAGAGAGCAGATTGGAATCACTCTTTTTGTAGAATCTGCAAATGGAGATTTGGACTGCTTTGGGGCCTACGGTAGTATAGGAAGGAACTTCATATAAAAGGCAAACGGAAGCATTCTCAGAATATTCTTTGTGATGATGGAGTTTCACTCACAGAGCTGAACATGCCTTTTGATGGAGCAGTTTCCAAATACACTTTTGGTAGAATCTGCAGGTGGATATTTGGACCTCTCTGAGGATTTCGTTGGAAACGGGAATAATTTCCCATAACTAAACACAAACACTCTGAGAAAGTTCTTCATGATGAATGCATTTAACTCGCAGAGATGAACTTGCCTTTGAGAGTTCAGGTTCGAAACACTCTTTCTGTAGAATCTGCAAGTGGATATTTGGACCACTGGCTGGCCTTCGTTCGAAACGGGTATATGTTCACGTAAAAACTAAAGAGAAGCATTCTCAGAAACTTCTGAGTGATGATTGCATTCAAGTCACACAGTTGAACCCGCCTTTTGATTGAGCAGTTTTGAAACTGTCTTTTTGTAGAATCTGTAAGTGGATTCGTGGACCTCTTGGAAGATTTCTTTGGAAACGGGAATATTTCCACAGAAAAACTAAACTGAAGCATTCTCAGAAACTGCTTTGTGATGTTGGTGTTCGAGCCGCAGAGTTTAACATTGCTTTTCATAGAGCACTTTTGAAATATTCTTTTGGCAGAATCTGCAAGTGGACATTTAGAGCGTTTTCAGGCCTGTGGTGGAAAAGGCCTGAAAGCCTTTTCCTTTATCTTCACAGAAAGACGAGAGAGAAGCATTGTCAGAAACTTCTTTGTGATGATTGCATTCAACTCACAGAGTTGAAGATTCCTTTTGAAACAGCAGTTTCGAAACACTCTTTCTGTGGGATCCGCAAGGGGATATTTGGACCTCTTTGAAGATTTCGTTGGAAACGGGATAATCTTCACCTAAAAGCTAAACGGAAGCATTCTCAGAAACTTCTTTGGGATGTTTGCATTCACCTCACAGAGTTGAACTTTCCCTTTGATAGCGCAGCTTTGACACACTTTTTCTACAATGTGCAAGTGGATATTTAGCGGGCTTGGAGGACTGTGTTGGAAAAGGAAATATCTTCTCCTAAAAACGACATAGAAGCATTCTCAGAAACTGCTCTGTGATGATTGCATTCAACTCCCAGAGTTGAACATTCCTTTTGATAGAGCAGTTTGCAAACACTCTTTTTGTAGAATCTGCAAGTGGAGATTTGGACCGCTTTGAGGCCTGTGGTAGTAAAGGAAAGAACTTCCTATAAAAACTAGACGGTAGCACTCTCAGAAAATTCTTTGTGACGATGGAGTTTAACTCAGGGAGCTGAACATTCGTTATGATGGAGCAGTTTCCAAACACACGTTTTGTAGAATCTGCAAGGGGATATTTGGACCTCTCTGAGGATTTCGTTGGAAACGGGATCAACTTCCCATAACTGAACGGAAGCAAACTCAGAACATTCTTTGTGATGTTTGTATTCAACTCACAGAGTTGAACCTTCCTTTGATAGTTCAGGTTTGCATCACCCTTGTAGTAGAATCTGCAAGTGTATATGTTGACCACTATGTAGCCTTCGTTTGAAACGTCTATATCTTCACATCAAACCTAGACAGAAGCATTCTCAGAAAGTTTTCTGCGATGACTGCATTCAACTCACAGAGTTGAACAATCCTTTTGATGGAGCAGTTTTGAAACCCTCTTTCTTTGGAATCTGCAAGGGGATATGTGGACCTCTTTGAAGATTTCACTGGAAACGGGATCATCTTCACATAAGAACTAAACAGAAGCATTCTCGGAAACTACTTTGTGATGTTTGTATTCAACTCCCAGAGTTGAACTTTCCTTTTGAAAGAGCAGCTATGAAACACTCTTTTTCGAGAATCTGCAAGTGGACGTTTGGAGGGCTTTGAGGCCTGTGGTGGAAAAGGAAATATCTTCACATAAAAACTAGATAGAAGCATTCTCAGAAACGACTTTGTGAGGATGGCATTCAACTCATGGAGTTGAACAATCCTATTGATAGAGCAGATTGGAATCACTCTTTTTGTAGAATCTGCAAATGGAGATTTGGACTGCTTTGAGGCCTACGGTAGTATAGGAAGGAACTTCATATAAAAGGCAAACGGAAGCATTCTCAGAATATTCTTTGTGATGATGGAGTTTCACTCACAGAGCTGAACATGCCTTTTGATGGAGCAGTTTCCAAATACACTTTTGGTAGAATCTGCAGGTGGATATTTGGAGCTCTCTGAGGATTTCGTTGGAAACGGGAATAATTTCCCATAACTAAACACAAACACTCTGAGAAAGTTCTTCATGATGAATGCATTTAACTCGCAGAGATGAACCTGCCTTTGAGAGTTCAGGTTCGAAACACTCTTTCTGTAGAATCTGCAAGTGGATATTTGGACCACTGGCTGGCCTTCGTTCGAAACGGGTATATGTTCACGTAAAAACTAAAGAGAAGCATTCTCAGAAACTTCTGAGTGATGATTGCATTCAAGTCACACAGTTGAACCCTCCTTTTGATGGAGCAGTTTTGAAACTGTCTTTTTGTAGAATCTGTAAGTGGATACGTGGACCTCTTTGAAGATTTCTTTGGAAACGGGAATATTTCCACAGAAAAACTAAACTGAAGCATTCTCAGAAACCGCTTTGTGATGTTTGTGTTCGAGCCACAGAGTTTAACATTGCTTTTCATAGAGCAGTTTTGAAATATTCTTTTGGCAGAATCTGCAAGTGGACATTTGGAGCGCTTTCAGGCCTGTGGGTGGAAAAGGCCTGAAAGCCTTTTCCTTTACCTTCACAGAAAGACGAGAGAGAAGCATTGTCAGAAACTTCTTTGTGATGATTGCATTCAACTCACAGAGTTGAAGATTCCTTTTGAAACAGCAGTTTCGAAACACTCTTTCTGTGGGATCCGCAAGGGGATATTTGGACCTCTTTGAAGGTTTCGTTGGAAACGGGATAATCTTCACCTAAAAGCTAAACGGAAGCATTCTCAGAAACTTCTTTGGGATGTTTGCATTCACCTCACAGAGTTGAACTTTCCCTTTGATAGCGCAGCTTTGACACACTTTTTCTACAATGTGCAAGTGGCTATTTAGCGGGCTTGGAGGACTGTGTTGGAAAAGGAAATATCTTCTCCTAAAAACGACATAGAAGCATTCTCAGAAACTGCTCTGTGATGATTGCATTCAACTCCCAGAGTTGAACATTCCTTTTGATAGAGCAGTTTGCAAACACTCTTTTTGTAGAATCTGCAAGTGGAGATTTGGACCGCTTTGAGGCCTGTGGTAGTGAAGGAAAGAACTTCATATAAAAACCAGACGGTAGCACTCTCAGAAAATTCTTTGTGACGATGGAGTTTAACTCAGGGAGCTGAACATTCGTTATGATGGAGCAGTTTCCAAACACACGTTTTGTAGAATCTGCAAGGGGATATTTGGACCTCTCTGAGGATTTCGTTGGAAACGGGATCAACTTCCCATAACTGAACGGAAGCAAACTCAGAACATTCTTTGTGATGTTTGTATTCAACTCACAGAGTTGAACCTTCCTTTGATAGTTCAGGTTTGCAACACCCTTGTAGTAGAATCTGCAAGTGTATATTTTGACCACTTTGTAGCCTTCGTTTGAAACATCTATATCTTCACATCAAACCTAGACAGAAGCATTCTCAGAAAGTTTTCTGCGATGACTGCATTCAACTCACAGAGTTGAACAATCCTTTTGATGGAGCAGTTTTGAAACCCTCTTTCTTTGGAATCTGCAAGGGGATATGTGGACCTCTTTGAAGATTTCACTGGAAACGGGATCATCTTCACATAAAAACTAAACAGAAGCATTCTCGGAAACTACTTTGTGATGTTTGTATTCAACTCCCAGAGTTGAACTTTCCTTTTGAAAGAGCAGCTATGAAACACTCTTTTTCGAGAATCTGCAAGTGGACGTTTGGAGGGCTTTGAGGCCTGTGGTGGAAAAGGAAATATCTTCACATAAAAACTAGATAGAAGCATTCTCAGAAACGACTTTGTGAGGATGGCATTCAACTCATGGAGTTGAACAATCCTATTGATAGAGCAGATTGGAATCACTCTTTTTGTAGAATCTGCAAATGGAGATTTGCACTGCTTTGAGGCCTACGGTCGTATAGGAAGGAACTTCATATAAAAGGCAAACGGAAGCATTCTCAGAATATTCTTTGTGATGATGGAGTTTCACTCACAGAGCTGAACATGCCTGTTGATGGAGCAGTTTCCAAATACACTTTTGGTAGAATCTGCAGGTGGACATTTGCACCTCTCTGAGGATTTCGTTGGGAACGGGAATAATTTCCCATAACTAAACACAAACACGCTGAGAAAGTTCTTCATGATGAATGCATTTAACTCGCAGAGATGAACCTGCCTTTGAGAGTTCAGGTTCGAAACACTCTTTCTGTAGAATCTGCAAGTGGACATTTGGACCACTGGGTGGCCTTCGTTCGAAACGGGTATATGTTCACGTAAAAACTAAAGAGAAGCATTCTCAGAAACTTCTGAGTGATGATTGCATTCAAGTCACACAGTTGAACCCTCCTTTTGATTGAGCAGTTTTGAAACTGTCTTTTTGTAGAATCTGTAAGTGGATACGTGGACCTCTTTGAAGATTTCTTTGGAAACGGGAATATTTCCACAGAAAAACTAAACTGAAGCATTCTCAGAAACCGCTTTGTGATGTTTGTGTTCGAGCCACAGAGTTTAACATTGCTTTTCATAGAGCAGTTTTGAAATATTCTTTTGGCAGAATCTGCAAGTGGACATTTGGAGCGCTTTCAGGCCTGTGGTGGCAAAGGCCTGAACGCCTTTTCCTTTATGTTCACAGAAAGACGAGAGAGAAGCATTGTCAGAAACTTCTTTGTGATGATTGCATTCAACTCACAGAGTTGAAGATTCCTTTTGAAACAGCAGTTTCGAAACACTCTTTCTGTGGGATCCGCAAGGGGATATTTGGACCTCTTTGAAGCTTTCGTTGGAAACGGGATAATCTTCACCTAAAAGCTAAACGGAAGCATTCTCAGAAACTTCTTTGGGATGTTTGCATTCACCTCACAGAGTTGAACTTTCCCTTTGATAGCGCAGCTTTGACACACTTTTTCTACAATGTGCAAGTGGCTATTTAGCGGGCTTGGAGGACTGTGTTGGAAAAGGAAATATCTTCTCCTAAAAACGACATAGAAGCATTCTCAGAAACTGCTCTGTGATGATTGCATTCAACTCCCAGAGTTGAACATTCCTTTTGATAGAGCAGTTTGCAAACACTCTTTTTGTAGAATCTGCAAGTGGAGATTTGGACCGCTTTGAGGTCTGTGGTAGTGAAGGAAAGAACTTCATATAAAAACCAGACGGTAGCACTCTCAGAAAATTCTTTGTGACGATGGAGTTTAACTCAGGGAGCTGAACATTCGTTATGATGGAGCAGTTTCCAAACACACGTTTTGTAGAATCTGAAAGGGGATATTTGGACCTCTCTGAGGATTTCGTTGGAAACGGGATCAACTTCCCATAACTGAACGGAAGCAAACTCAGAACATTCTTTGTGATGTTTGTATTCAACTCACAGAGTTGAACCTTCCTTTGATAGTTCAGGTTTGCAACACCCTTGTAGTAGAATCTGCAAGTGTATATTTTGACCACTTTGTAGCCTTCGTTTGAAACATCTATATCTTCACATCAAACCTAGACAGAAGCATTCTCAGAAAGTTTTCTGCGATGACTGCATTCAACTCACAGAGTTGAACAATCCTTCTGATGGAGCAGTTTTGAAACCCTCTTTCTTTGGAATCTGCAAGGGGATATGTGGACCTCTTTGAAGATTTCACTGGAAACGGGATCATCTTCACATAAAAACTAAACAGAAGCATTCTCGGAAACTACTTTGTGATGTTTGTATTCAACTCCCAGAGTTGAACTTTCCTTTTGAAAGAGCAGCTATAAAACACTCTTTTTCGAGAATCTGCAAGTGGACGTTTGGAGGGCTTTGAGGCCTGTGGTGGAAAAGGAAATATCTTCACATAAAAACTAGATAGAAGCATTCTCAGAAACGACTTTGTGAGGATGGCATTCAACTCATGGAGTTGAACAATCCTATTGATAGAGCAGATTGGAATCACTCTTTTTGTAGAATCTGCAAATGGAGATTTGGACTGCTTTGAGGCCTACGGTCGTATAGGAAGGAACTTCATATAAAAGGCAAACGGAAGCATTCTCAGAATATTCTTTGTGATGATGGAGTTTCACTCACAGAGCTGAACATGCCTTTTGATGGAGCAGTTTCCAAATACACTTTTGGTAGAATCTGCAGGTGGATATTTGGACCTCTCTGAGGATTTCGTTGGAAACGGGAATAATTTCCCATACCTAAACACAAACACTCTGAGAAAGTTCTTCATGATGAATGCATTGAACTCGCAGAGATGAACCTGCCTTTGAGAGTTCAGGTTCGAAACACTCTTTCTGTAGAATCTGCAAGTGGATATTTGGACCACTGGGTGGCCTTCGTTCGAAACGGGTATATGTTCACGTAAAAACTAAAGAGAAGCATTCTCAGAAACTTCTGCGTGATGATTGCATTCAAGTCACACGGTTGAACCCTCCTTTTGATTGAGCAGTTTTGAAACTGTCTTTTTGTAGAATCTGTAAGCGGGTACGTGGACCTCTTTGAAGATTTCTTTGGAAACGGGAATATTTCCACAGAAAAACTAAACTGAAGCATTCTCAGAAACTGCTTTGTGATGTTTGTGTTCGAGCCGCAGAGTTTAACATTGCTTTTCATAGAGCAGTTTTGAAATATTCTTTTGGCAGAATCTGCAAGTGGACATTTGGAGCGCTTTCAGGCCTGTGGTGGAAAAGGCCTGAAAGCCTTTTCCTTTATCTTCACAGAAAGACGAGAGAGAAGCATTGTCAGAAACTTCTTTGTGATGATTGCATTCAACTCACAGAGTTGAAGATTCCTTCTGAAACAGCAGTTTCGAAACACTCTTTCTGTGGGATCCGCAAGGGGATATTTGGACCTCTTTGAAGATTTCGTTGGAAACGGGATAATCTTCACCTAAAAGCTAAACGGAAGCATTCTCAGAAACTTCTTTGGGATGTTTGCATTCACCTCACAGAGTTGAACTTTCCCTTTGATAGCGCAGCTTCGACACACTTTTTCTACAATGTGCAAGTGGATATTTAGCGGGCTTGGAGGACTGTGTTGGAAAAGGAAATATCTTCTCCTAAAAACGACATAGAAGCATTCTCAGAAACTGCTCTGTGATGATTGCATTCAACTCCCAGAGTTGAACATTCCTTTTGATAGAGCAGTTTGCAAACACTCTTTTTGTAGAATCTGCAAGTGGAGATTTGGACCGCTTTGAGGCCTGTGGTAGTAAAGGGAAGAACTTCATATAAAAACCAGACGGTAGCACTCTCAGAAAATTCTTTGTGACGATGGAGTTTAACTCAGAGAGCTGAACATTCGTTATGATGGAGCAGTTTCCAAACACACGTTTTGTAGAATCTGCAAGGGGATATTTGGTCCTCTCTGAGGATTTCGTTGGAAACGGGATCAACTTCCCATAACTGAACGGAAGCAAACTCAGAACATTCTTTGTGATGTTTGTATTCAACTCACAGAGTTGAACCTTCCTTTGATAGTTCAGGTTTGCAACACCCTTGTAGTAGAATCTGCAAGTGTATATTTTGACCACTTTGTAGCCTTCGTTTGAAACGTCTATATCTTCACCTCAAACCTAGACAGAAGCATTCTCAGAAAGTTTTCTGCGATGACTGCATTCAACTCACAGAGTTGAACAATCCTTTTGATGGAGCAGTCTTGAAACCCTCTTTCTTTGGAATCTGCAAGGGGATATGTGGACCTCTTTGAAGATTTCACTGGAAACGGGATCATCTTCACATAAGAACTAAACAGAAAGCATTCTCGGAAACTATTTTGTGATGTTTGTATTCAACTCCCAGAGTTGAACTTTCCTTTTGAAAGAGCAGCTATGAAACACTCTTTTTCGAGAATCTGCAAGTGGACGTTTGGAGGGCTTTGAGGCCTGTGGTGGAAAAGGAAATATCTTCACACAAAAACCAGATAGAAGCATTCTCAGAAACTACTTTGTGAGGATGGCATTCAACTCATGGAGTTGAACAATCCTATTGATAGAGCAGATTGGAATCACTCTTTTTGTAGAATCTGCAAATGGAGATTTGGACTGCTTTGAGGCCTACGGTCGTATAGGAAGGAACTTCATATAAAAGGCAAACGGAAGCATTCTCAGAATATTCTTTGTGATGATGGAGTTTCACTCACAGAGCTGAACATGCCTTTTGATGGAGCAGTTTCCAAATACACTTTTGGTAGAATCTGCAGGTGGATATTTGGAGCTCTCTGAGGATTTCGTTGGAAACGGGAATAATTTCCCATAACTAAACACAAACACTCTGAGAAAGTTCTTCATGATGAATGCATTTAACTCGCAGAGATGAACCTGCCTTTGAGAGTTCAGGTTCGAAACACTCTTTCTGTAGAATCTGCAAGTGGATATTTGGACCACTGGGTGGCCTTCGTTCGAAACGGGTATATGTTCACGTAAAAACTAAAGAGAAGCATTCTCAGAAACTTCTGAGTGATGATTGCATTCAAGTCACACAGTTGAACCCTCCTTTTGATGGAGCAGTTTTGAAACTGTCTTTTTGTAGAATCTGTAAGTGGATACGTGGACCTCTTTGAAGATTTCTTTGGAAACGGGAATATTTCCACAGAAAAACTAAACTGAAACATTCTCAGAAACCGCTTTGTGATGTTTGTGTTCCAGCCACAGAGTTTAACATTGCTTTTCATAGAGCAGTTTTGAAATATTCTTTTCGCAGAATCTGCAAGTGGACATTTGGAGCGCTTTCAGGCCTGTGGTGGAAAAGGCCTGAAAGCCTTTTCCATTATCTTCACAGAAAGACGAGAGAGAAGCATTGTCAGAAACTTCTTTGTGATGATTGCATTCAACTCACAGAGTTGAAGATTCCTTTTGAAACAGCAGTTTCGAAACACTCTTTCTGTGGGATCCGCAAGGGGATATTTGCACCTCTTTGAAGGTTTCGTTGGAAACGGGATAATCTTCACCTAAAAGCTAAACGGAAGCATTCTCAGAAACTTCTTTGGGATGTTTGCATTCACCTCACAGAGTTGAACTTTCCCTTTGATAGCGCAGCTTTGACACACTTTTTCTACAATGTGCAAGTGGCTATTTAGCGGGCTTGGAGGACTGTGTTGGAAAAGGAAATATCTTCTAAAAACGACATAGAAGCATTCTCAGAAACTGCTCTGTGATGATTGCATTCAACTCCCAGAGTTGAACATTCCTTTTGATAGAGCAGTTTGCAAACACTCTTTTTGTAGAATCTGCAAGTGGAGATTTGGACCGCTTTGAGGCCTGTGGTAGTGAAGGAAAGAACTTCATATAAAAACCAGACGGTAGCACTCTCAGAAAATTCTTTGTGACGATGGAGTTTAACTCAGGGAGCTGAACATTCGTTATGATGGAGCAGTTTCCAAACACAAGTTTTGTAGAATCTGTGAGGGGATATTTGGACCTCTCTGAGGATTTCGTTGGAAACGGGATCAACTTCCCATAACTGAACGGAAGCAAACTCAGAACATTCTTTGTGATGTTTGTATTCAACTCACAGAGTTGAACCTTCCTTTGATAGTTCAGGTTTGCAACACCCTTGTAGTAGAATCTGCAAGTGTATATTTTGACCACTTTGTAGCCTTCATTTGAAACGTCTATATCTTCACATCAAACCTAGACAGAAGCATTCTCAGAAAGTTTTCTGCGATGACTGCATTCAACTCACAGAGTTGAACAATCCTTCTGATGGAGCAGTTTTGAAACCCTCTTTCTTTGGAATCTGCAAGGGGATATGTGGACCTCTTTGAAGATTTCACTGGAAACGGGATCATCTTCACATAAAAACTAAACAGAAGCATTCTCGGAAACTACTTTGTGATGTTTGTATTCAACTCCCAGAGTTGAACTTTCCTTTTGAAAGAGCAGCTATGAAACACTCTTTTTCGAGAATCTGCAAGTGGACGTTTGGAGGGCTTTGAGGCCTGTGGTGGAAAAGGAAATATCTTCACACAAAAACCAGATAGAAGCATTCTCAGAAACTACTTTGTGAGGATGGCATTCAACTCATGGAGTTGAACAATCCTATTGATAGAGCAGATTGGAATCACTCTTTTTATAGAATCTGCAAATGGAGATTTGGACTGCTTTGAGGCCTACGGTAGTACAGGAAGGAACTTCATATAAAAGGCAAACGGAAGCATTCTCAGAATATTCTTTGTGATGATGGAGTTTCACTCACAGAGCTGAACATGCCTTTTGATGGAGCAGTTTCCAAATACACTTTTGGTAGAATCTGCAGGTGGATATTTGGAGCTCTCTGAGGATTTCGTTGGAAACGGGAATAATTTCCCATAACTAAACACAAACACTCTGAGAAAGTTCTTCATGATGAATGCATTTAACTCGCAGAGATGAACCTGCCTTTGAGAGTTCAGGTTCGAAACACTCTTTCTGTAGAATCTGCAAGTGGATATTTGGACCACTGGCTGGCCTTCGTTCGAAACGGGTATATGTTCACGTAAAAACTAAAGAGAAGCATTCTCAGAAACTTCTGAGTGATGATTGCATTCAAGTCACACAGTTGAACCCTCCTTTTGATGGAGCAGTTTTGAAACTGTCTTTTTGTAGAATCTGTAAGTGGATACGTGGACCTCTTTGAAGATTTCTTTGGAAACGGGAATATTTCCACAGAAAAACTAAACTGAAGCATTCTCAGAAACTGCTTTGTGATGTTTGTGTTCGAGCCACAGAGTTTAACATTGCTTTTCATAGAGCAGTTTTGAAATATTCTTTTGGCAGAATCTGCAAGTGGACATTTGGAGCGCTTTCAGGCCTGTGGTGGAAAAGGCCTGAAAGCCTTTTCCTTTATCTTCACAGAAAGACGAGAGAGAAGCATTGTCAGAAACTTCTTTGTGATGATTGCATGCAACTCACAGAGTTGAAGATTCCTTTTGAAACAGCAGTTTCGAAACACTCTTTCTGTGGGATCCGCAAGGGGATATTTGGACCTCTTTGAAGGTTTCGTTGGAAACGGGATAATCTTCACCTAAAAGCTAAACGGAAGCATTCTCAGAAACTTCTTTGGGATGTTTGCATTCACCTCACAGAGTTGAACTTTCCCTTTGATAGCGCAGCTTTGACACACTTTTTCTACAATGTGCAAGTGGCTATTTAGCGGGCTTGGAGGACTGTGTTGGAAAAGGAAATATCTTCTCCTAAAAACGACATAGAAGCATTCTCAGAAACTGCTCTGTGATGATTGCATTCAACTCCCAGTGTTGAACATTCCTTTTGATAGAGCAGTTTGGCAAACACTCTTTTTGTAGAATCTGCAAGTGGAGATTTGGACCGCTTTGAGGCCTGTGGTAGTGAAGGAAAGAACTTCATATAAAAACCAGACGGTAGCACTCTCAGAAAAATTCTTTGTGACGATGGAGTTTAACTCAGGGAGCTGAACATTCGTTATGATGGAGCAGTTTCCAAACACACGTTTTGTAGAATCTGCGAGGGGATATTTGGACCTCTCTGAGGATTTCGTTGGAAACGGGATCAACTTCCCATAACTGAACGGAAGCAAACTCAGAACATTCTTTGTTATGTTTGTATTCAACTCACAGAGTTGAACCTTCCTTTGATAGTTCAGGTTTGCAAAACCCTTGTAGTAGAATCTGCAAGTGTATATTTTGACCACTTTGTAGCCTTCGTTTGAAACGTCTATATCTTCACATCAAACCTAGACAGAAGCATTCTCAGAAAGTTTTCTGCGATGACTGCATTCAACTCACAGAGTTGAACAATCCTTTTGATGGAGCAGTTTTGAAACCCTCTTTCTTTGGAATCTGCAAGGGGATATGTGGACCTCTTTGAAGATTTCACTGGAAACGGGATCATCTTCACATAAGAACTAAACAGAAGCATTCTCGGAAACTACTTTGTGATGTTTGTATTCAACTCCCAGAGTTGAACTTTCCTTTTGAAAGAGCAGCTATGAAACACTCTTTTTCGAGAATCTGCAAGTGGACGTTTGGAAGGCTTTGAGGCCTGTGGTGGAAAAGGAAATATCTTCACATAAAAACTAGATAGAAGCATTCTCAGAAACTACTTTGTGAGGATGGCATTCAACTCATGGAGTTGAACAATCCTATTGATAGAGCAGATTGGAATCACTCTTTTTATAGAATCTGCAAATGGAGATTTGGACTGCTTTGAGGCCTACGGTAGTACAGGAAGGAACTTCATATAAAAGGCAAACGGAAGCATTCTCAGAATATTCTTTGTGATGATGGAGTTTCACTCACAGAGCTGAACATGCCTTTTGATGGAGCAGTTTCCAAATACACTTTTGGTAGAATCTGCAGGTGGATATTTGGAGCTCTCTGAGGATTTCGTTGGAAACGGGAATAATTTCCCATAACTAAACACAAACACTCTGAGAAAGTTCTTCATGATGAATGCATTTAACTCGCAGAGATGAACCTGCCTTTGAGAGTTCAGGTTCGAAACACTCTTTCTGTATAATCTGCAAGTGGATATTTGGACCACTGGGTGGCCTTCGTTCGAAACGGGTATATGTTCACGTAAAAACTAAAGAGAAGCATTCTCAGAAACTTCTGAGTGATGATTGCATTCAAGTCACACAGTTGAACCCTCCTTTTGATGGAGCAGTTTTGAAACTGTCTTTTTGTAGAATCTGTAAGTGGATGCGTGGACCTCTTTGAAGATTTCTTTGGAAACGGGAATATTTCCACAGAAAAACTAAACTGAAGCATTCTCAGAAACTGCTTTGTGATGTTTGTGTTCGAGCCACAGAGTTTAACATTGCTTTTCATAGAGCAGTTTTGAAATATTCTTTTCGCAGAATCTGCAAGTGGACATTTGGAGCGCTTTCAGGCCTGTGGTGGCAAAGGCCTGAAAGCCTTTTCCTTTATCTTCACAGAAAGACGAGAGAGAAGCATTGTCAGAAACTTCTTTGTGATGATTGCATTCAACTCACAGAGTTGAAGATTCCTTTTGAAACAGCAGTTTCGAAACACTCTTTCTGTGGGATCCGCAAGGGGATATTTGGACCTCTTTGAAGGTTTCGTTGGAAACGGGATAATCTTCACCTAAAAGCTAAACGGAAGCATTCTCAGAAACTTCTTTGGGATGTTTGCATTCACCTCACAGAGTTGAACTTTCCCTTTGATAGCGCAGCTTCGACACACTTTTTCTACAATGTGCAAGTGGCTATTTAGCGGGCTTGGAGGACTGTGTTGGAAAAGGAAATATCTTCTCCTAAAAACGACATAGAAGCATTCTCAGAAACTGCTCTGTGATGATTGCATTCAACTCCCAGAGTTGAACATTCCTTTTGATAGAGCAGTTTGCAAACACTCTTTTTGTAGAATCTGCAAGTGGAGATTTGGACCGCTTTGAGGCCTGTGGTAGTGAAGGAAAGAACTTCATATAAAAACCAGACGGTAGCACTCTCAGAAAATTCTTTGTGACGATGGAGTTTAACTCAGGGAGCTGAACATTCGTTATGATGGAGCAGTTTCCAAACACACGTTTTGTAGAATCTGCGAGGGGATATTTGGACCTCTCTGAGGATTTCGTTGGAAACGGGATCAACTTCCCATAACTGAACGGAAGCAAACTCAGAACATTCTTTGTGATGTTTGTATTCAACTCACAGAGTTGAACCATCCTTTGATAGTTCAGGTTTGTAACACCCTTGTAGTAGAATCTGCAAGTGTATATTTTGACCACTTTGTAGCCTTCGTTTGAAACGTCTATATCTTCACATCAAACCTAGACAGAAGCATTCTCAGAAAGTTTTCTGCGATGACTGCATTCAACTCACAGAGTTGAACAATCCTTCTGATGGAGCAGTTTTGAAACCCTCTTTCTTTGGAATCTGCAAGGGGATATGTGGACCTCTTTGAAGATTTCACTGGAAACGGGATCATCTTCACATAAAAACTAAACAGAAGCATTCTCGGAAACTACTTTGTGATGTTTGTATTCAACTCCCAGAGTTGAACTTTCCTTTTGAAAGAGCAGCTATGAAACACTCTTTTTCGAGAATCTGCAAGTGGACGTTTGGAGGGCTTTGAGGCCTGTGGTGGAAAAGGAAATATCTTCACATAAAAACTAGATAGAAGCATTCTCAGAAACGACTTTGTGAGGATGGCATTCAACTCATGGAGTTGAACAATCCTATTGATAGAGCAGATTGGAATCACTCTTTTTGTAGAATCTGCAAATGGAGATTTGGACTGCTTTGAGGCCTACGGTCGTATAGGAAGGAACTTCATATAAAAGGCAAACGGAAGCATTCTCAGAATATTCTTTGTGATGATGGAGTTTCACTCACAGAGCTGAACATGCCTTTTGATGGAGCAGTTTCCAAATACACTTTTGGTAGAATCTGCAGGTGGATATTTGGAGCTCTCTGAGGATTTCGTTGGAAACGGGAATAATTTCCCATAACTAAACACAAACACTCTGAGAAAGTTCTTCATGATGAATGCATTTAACTCGCAGAGATGAACCTGCCTTTGAGAGTTCAGGTTCGAAACACTCTTTCTGTAGAATCTGCAAGTGGATATTTGGACCACTGGGTGGCCTTCGTTCGAAACGGGTATATGTTCACGTAAAAACTAAAGAGAAGCATTCTCAGAAACTTGTGAGTGATGATTGCATTCAAGTCACACAGTTGAACCCTCCTTTTGATGGAGCAGTTTTGAAACTGTCTTTTTGTAGAATCTGTAAGTGGATACGTGGACCTCTTTGAAGATTTCTTTGGAAACGGGAATATTTCCACAGAAAAACTAAACTGAAGCATTCTCAGAAACCGCTTTGTGATGTTTGTGTTCGAGCCACAGAGTTTAACATTGCTTTTCATAGAGCAGTTTTGAAATATTCTTTTGGCAGAATCTGCAAGTGGACATTTGGAGCGCTTTCAGGCCTGTGGTGGAAAAGGCCTGAAAGCCTTTTCCTTTATCTTCACAGAAAGACGAGAGAGAAGCATTGTCAGAAACTTCTTTGTGATGATTGCATTCAACTCACAGAGTTGAAGATTCCTTTTGAAACAGCAGTTTCGAAACACTCTTTCTGTGGGATCCGCAAGGGGATATTTGGACCTCTTTGAAGGTTTCGTTGGAAACGGGATAATCTTCACCTAAAAGCTAAACGGAAGCATTCTCAGAAACTTCTTTGGGATGTTTGCATTCACCTGACAGAGTTGAACTTTCCCTTTGATAGCGCAGCTTTGACACACTTTTTCCACAATGTGCAAGTGGCTATTTAGCGGGCTTGGGGGACTGTGTTGGAAAAGGAAATATCTTCTCCTAAAAACGACATAGAAGCATTCTCAGAAACTGCTCTGTGATGATTGCATTCAACTCCCAGAGTTGAACATTCCTTTTGATAGAGCAGTTTGCAAACACTCTTTTTGTAGAATCTGCAAGTGGAGATTTGGACCGCTTTGAGGCCTGTGGTAGTGAAGGAAAGAGCTTCATATAAAAACCAGACGGTAGCACTCTCAGAAAATTCTTTGTGACGATGGAGTTTAACTCAGGGAGCTGAACATTCGTTATGATGGAGCAGTTTCCAAACACACGTTTTGTAGAATCTGCAAGGGGATATTTGGACCTCTCTGAGGATTTCGTTGGAAACGGGATCAACTTCCCATAACTGAACGGAAGCAAACTCAGAACATTCTTTGTGATGTTTGTATTCAACTCACAGAGTTGAACCTTCCTTTGATAGTTCAGGTTTGCAACACCCTTGTAGTAGAATCTGCAAGTGTATATTTTGACCACTTTGTAGCCTTCGTTTGAAACGTCTATATCTTCACATCAAACCTAGACAGAAGCATTCTCAGAAAGTTTTCTGCGATGACTGCATTCAACTCACAGAGTTGAACAATCCTTCTGATGGAGCAGTTTTGAAACCCTCTTTCTTTGGAATCTGCAAGGGGATATGTGGACCTCTTTGAAGATTTCACTGGAAATGGGATCATCTTCACATAAAAACTAAACAGAAGCATTCTCGGAAACTACTTTGTGATGTTTGTATTCAACTCCCAGAGTTGAACTTTCCTTTTGAAAGAGCAGCTATGAAACACTCTTTTTCGAGAATCTGCAAGTGGACGTTTGGAGGGATTTGAGGCCTGTGGTGGAAAAGGAAATATCTTCACATAAAAACTAGATAGAAGCATTCTCAGAAACGACTTTGTGAGGATGGCATTCAACTCATGGAGTTGAACAATCCTATTGATAGAGCAGATTGGAATCACTCTTTTTGTAGAATCTGCAAATGGAGATTTGGACTGCTTTGAGGCCTACGGTCGTATAGGAAGGAACTTCATATAAAAGGCAAACGGAAGCATTCTCAGAATATTCTTTGTGATGATGGAGTTTCACTCACAGAGCGGAACATGCCTTTTGATGGAGCAGTTTCCAAATACACTTTTGGTAGAATCTGCAGGTGGATATTTGGAGCTCTCTGAGGATTTCGTTGGAAACGGGAATAATTTCCCATAACTAAACACAAACACTCTGAGAAAGTTCTTCATGATGAATGCATTTAACTCGCAGAGATGAACCTGCCTTTGAGAGTTCATGTTCGAAACACTCTTTCTGTAGAATCTGCAAGTGGATATTTGGACCACTGGGTGGCCTTCGTTCGAAACGGGTATATGTTCACGTAAAAACTAAAGAGAAGCATTCTCAGAAACTTCTGAGTGATGATTGCATTCAAGTCACACAGTTGAACCCTCCTTTTGATGGAGCAGTTTTGAAACTGTCTTTTTGTAGAATCTGTAAGTGGATACGTGGACCTCTTTGAAGATTTCTTTGGAAACGGGAATATTTCCACAGAAAAACTAAACTGAAGCATTCTCAGAAACCGCTTTGTGATGTTTGTGTTCGAGCCACAGAGTTTAACATTGCTTTTCATAGAGCAGTTTTGAAATATTCTTTTCGCAGAATCTGCAAGTGGACATTTGGAGCGCTTTCAGGCCTGTGGTGGAAAAGGGCCTGAAAGCCTTTTCCTTTATCTTCACAGAAAGACGAGAGAGAAGCATTGTCAGAAACTTCTTTGTGATGATTGCATTCAACTCACAGAGTTGAAGATTCCTTTTGAAACAGCAGTTTCGAAACACTCTTTCTGTGGGATCCGCAAGGGGATATTTGGACCTCTTTGAAGGTTTCGTTGGAAACGGGATAATCTTCACCTAAAAGCTAAACGGAAGCATTCTCAGAAACTTCTTTGGGATGTTTGCATTCACCTCACAGAGTTGAACTTTCCCTTTGATAGCGCAGCTTTGACACACTTTTTCTACAATGTGCAAGTGGCTATTTAGCGGGCTTGGAGGACTGTGTTGGAAAAGGAAATATCTTCTCCTAAAAACGACATAGAAGCATTCTCAGAAACTGCTCTGTGATGATTGCATTCAACTCCCAGAGTTGAACATTCCTTTTGATAGAGCAGTTTGCAAACACTCTTTTTGTAGAATCTGCAAGTGGAGATTTGGACCGCTTTGAGGCCTGTGGTAGTGAAGGAAAGAACTTCATATAAAAACCAGACGGTAGCACTCTCAGAAAATTCTTTGTGACGATGGAGTTTAACTCAGGGAGCTGAACATTCGTTATGATGGAGCAGTTTCCAAACACACGTTTTGTAGAATCTGCAAGGGGATATTTGGACCTCTCTGAGGATTTCGTTGGAAACGGGATCAACTTCCCATAACTGAACGGAAGCAAACTCAGAACATTCTTTGTGATGTTTGTATTCAACTCACAGAGTTGAACCTTCCTTTGATAGTTCAGGTTTGCAACACCCTTGTAGTAGAATCTGCAAGTGTATATTTTGACCACTTTGTAGCCTTCGTTTGAAACGTCTATATCTTCACATCAAACCTAGACAGAAGCATTCTCAGAAAGTTTTCTGCGATGACTGCATTCAACTCACAGAGTTGAACAATCCTTTTGATGGAGCAGTTTTGAAACCCTCTTTCTTTGGAATCTGCAAGGGGATATGTGGACCTCTTTGAAGATTTCACTGGAAACGGGATCATCTTCACATAAAAACTAAACAGAAGCATTCTCGGAAACTATTTTGTGATGTTTGTATTCAACTCCCAGAGTTGAACTTTCCTTTTGAAAGAGCAGCTATGAAACACTCTTTTTCGAGAATCTGCAAGTGGACGTTTGGAGGGCTTTGAGGCCTGTGGTGGAAAAGGAAATATCTTCACACAAAAACCAGATAGAAGCATTCTCAGAAACTACTTTGTGAGGATGGCATTCAACTCATGGAGTTGAACAATCCTATTGATAGAGCAGATTGGAATCACTCTTTTTGTAGAATCTGCAAATGGAGATTTGGACTGCTTTGAGGCCTACGGTAGTACAGGAAGGAACTTCATATAAAAGGCAAACGGAAGCATTCTCAGAATATTCTTTGTGATGATGGAGTTTCACTCACAGAGCTGAACATGCCTTTTGATGGAGCAGTTTCCAAATACACTTTTGGTAGAATCTGCAGGTGGATATTTGGAGCTCTCTGAGGATTTCGTTGGAAACGGGAATAATTTCCCATAACTAAACACAAACACTCTGAGAAAGTTCTTCATGATGAATGCATTTAACTCGCAGAGATGAACCTGCCTTTGAGAGTTCAGGGTCGAAACACTCTTTCTGTAGAATCTGCAAGTGGATATTTGGACCACTGGCTGGCCTTCGTTCGAAACGGGTATATGTTCACGTAAAAACTAAAGAGAAGCATTCTCAGAAACTTCTGAGTGATGACTGCATTCAAGTCACACAGTTGAACCCTCCTTTTGATGGAGCAGTTTTGAAACTGTCTTTTTGTAGAATCTGTAAGTGGATACGTGGACCTCTTTGAAGATTTCTTTGGAAACGGGAATATTTCCACAGAAAAACTAAACTGAAGCATTCTCAGAAACTGCTTTGTGATGTTTGTGTTCGAGCCACAGAGTTTAACATTGCTTTTCATAGAGCAGTTTTGAAATATTCTTTTGGCAGAATCTGCAAGTGGACATTTGGAGCGCTTTCAGGCCTGTGGTGGAAAAGGCCTGAAAGCCTTTTCCTTTATCTTCACAGAAAGACGAGAGAGAAGCATTGTCAGAAACTTCTTTGTGATGATTGCATTCAACTCACAGAGTTGAAGATTCCTTTTGAAACAGCAGTTTCGAAACACTCTTTCTGTGGGATCCGCAAGGGGATATTTGGACCTACTTTGAAGGTTTCGTTGGAAACGGGATAATCTTCACCTAAAAGCTAAACGGAAGCATTCTCAGCAAACTTCTTTGGGATGTTTGCATTCACCTCACAGAGTTGAACTTTCCCTTTGATAGCGCAGCTTTGACACACTTTTTCTACAATGTGCAAGTGGCTATTTAGCGGGCTTGGAGGACTGTGTTGGAAAAGGAAATATCTTCTCCTAAAAACGACATAGAAGCATTCTCAGAAACTGCTCTGTGATGATTGCATTCAACTCCCAGAGTTGAACATTCCTTTTGATAGAGCAGTTTGCACACACTCTTTTTGTAGAATCTGCAAGTGGAGATTTGGACCGCTTTGAGGCCTGTGGTAGTGAAGGAAAGAACTTCATATAAAAACCAGACGGTAGCACTCTCAGAAAATTCTTTGTGACGATGGAGTTTAACTCAGGGAGCTGAACATTCGTTATGATGGAGCAGTTTCCAAACACACGTTTTGTAGAATCTGCAAGGGGATATTTGGACCTCTCTGAGGATTTCGTTGGAAACGGGATCAACTTCCCATAACTGAACGGAAGCAAACTCAGAACATTCTTTGTGATGTTTGTATTCAACTCACAGAGTTGAACCTTCCTTTGATAGTTCAGGTTTGCAACACCCTTGTAGTAGAATCTGCAAGTGTATATTTTGACCACTTTGTAGCCTTCGTTTGAAACGTCTATATCTTCACATCAAACCTAGACAGAAGCATTCTCAGAAAGTTTTCTGCGATGACTGCATTCAACTCACAGAGTTGAACAATCCTTCTGATGGAGCAGTTTTGAAACCCTCTTTCTTTGGAATCTGCAAGGGGATATGTGGACCTCTTTGAAGATTTCACTGGAAACGGGATCATCTTCACATAAAAACTAAACAGAAGCATTCTCGGAAACTATTTTGTGATGTTTGTATTCAACTCCCAGAGTTGAACTTTCCTTTTGAAAGAGCAGCTATGAAACACTCTTTTTCGAGAATCTGCAAGTGGACGTTTGGAGGGCTTTGAGGCCTGTGGTGGAAAAGGAAATATCTTCACACAAAAACCAGATAGAAGCATTCTCAGAAACGACTTTGTGAGGATGGCATTCAACTCATGGAGTTGAACAATCCTATTGATAGAGCAGATTGGAATCACTCTTTTTGTAGAATCTGCAAATGGAGATTTGGACTGCTTTGAGGCCTACGGTAGTACAGGAAGGAACTTCATATAAAAGGCAAACGGAAGCATTCTCAGAATATTCTTTGTGATGATGGAGTTTCACTCACAGAGCTGAACATGCCTTTTGATGGAGCAGTTTCCAAATACACTTTTGGTAGAATCTGCAGGTGGATATTTGGAGCTCTTTGAGGATTTCGTTGGAAACGGGAATAATTTCCCATACCTAAACACAAACACGCTGAGAAAGTTCTTCATGATGAATGCATTTAACTCGCAGAGATGAACCTGCCTTTGAGAGTTCAGGTTCGAAACACTCTTTCTGTAGAATCTGCAAGTGGATATTTGGACCACTGGGTGGCCTTCGTTCGAAACGGGTATATGTTCACGTAAAAACTAAAGAGAAGCATTCTCAGAAACTTCTGAGTGATGATTGCATTCAAGTCACACGGTTGAACCCTCCTTTTGATGGAGCAGTTTTGAAACTGTCTTTTTGTAGAATCTGTAAGTGGATACGTGGACCTCTTTGAAGATTTCTTTGGAAACGGGAATATTTCCACAGAAAAACTAAACTGAAGCATTCTCAGAAACCGCTTTGTGATGTTTGTGTTCGAGCCGCAGAGTTTAACATTGCTTTTCATAGAGCAGTTTTGAAATATTCTTTTGGCAGAATCTGCAAGTGGACATTTGGAGCGCTTTCAGGCCTGTGGTGGAAAAGGCCTGAAAGCCTTTTCCTTTATCTTCACAGAAAGACGAGAGAGAAGCATTGTCAGAAACTTCTTTGTGATGATTGCATTCAACTCACAGAGTTGAAGATTCCTTTTGAAACAGCAGTTTCGAAACACTCTTTCTGTGGGATCCGCAAGGGGATATTTGGACCTCTTTGAAGGTTTCGTTGGAAACGGGATAATCTTCACCTAAAAGCTAAATGGAAGCATTCTCAGAAACTTCTTTGGGATGTTTGCATTCACCTCACAGAGTTGAACTTTCCCTTTGATAGCGCAGCTTTGACACACTTTTTCTACAATGTGCAAGTGGCTATTTAGCAGGCTTGGAGGACTGTGTTGGAAAAGGAAATATCTTCTAAAAACGACATAGAAGCATTCTCAGAAACTGCTCTGTGATGATTGCATTCAACTCCCAGAGTTGAACATTCCTTTTGATAGAGCAGTTTGCAAACACTCTTTTTGTAGAATCTGCAAGTGGAGATTTGGACCGCTTTGAGGCCTGTGGTAGTGAAGGAAAGAACTTCATATAAAAACCAGACGGTAGCACTCTCAGAAAATTCTTTGTGACGATGGAGTTTAACTCAGGGAGCTGAACATTCGTTATGATGGAGCAGTTTCCAAACACACGTTTTGTAGAATCTGCGAGGGGATATTTGGACCTCTCTGAGGATTTCGTTGGAAACGGGATCAACTTCCCATAACTGAACGGAAGCAAACTCAGAACATTCTTTGTGATGTTTGTATTCAATTCACAGATTTGAACCTTCCTTTGATAGTTCAGGTTTGCAACACCCTTGTAGTAGAATCTGCAAGTGTATATTTTGACCACTTTGTAGCCTTCGTTTGAAACGTCTATATCTTCACATCAAACCTAGACAGAAGCATTCTCAGAAAGTTTTCTGCGATGACTGCATTCAACTCACAGAGTTGAACAATCCTTCTGATGGAGCAGTTTTGAAACCCTCTTTCTTTGGAATCTGCAAGGGGATATGTGGACCTCTTTGAAGATTTCACTGGAAACGGGATCATCTTCACATAAAAACTAAACAGAAGCATTCTCGGAAACTACTTTGTGATGTTTGTATTCAACTCCCAGAGTTGAACTTTCCTTTTGAAAGAGCAGCTATGAAACACTCTTTTTCGAGAATCTGCAAGTGGACGTTTGGAGGGCTTTGAGGCCTGTGGTGGAAAAGGAAATATCTTCACATAAAAACTAGATAGAAGCATTCTCAGAAACGACTTTGTGAGGATGGCATTCAACTCATGGAGTTGAACAATCCTATTGATAGAGCAGATTGGAATCACTCTTTTTGTAGAATCTGCAAATGGAGATTTGGACTGCTTTGAGGCCTACGGTCGTATAGGAAGGAACTTCATATAAAAGGCAAACGGAAGCATTCTCAGAATATTCTTTGTGATGATGGAGTTTCACTCACAGAGCTGAACATGCCTTTTGATGGAGCAGTTTCCAAATACACTTTTGGTAGAATCTGCAGGTGGATATTTGGAGCTCTCTGAGGATTTCGTTGGAAACGGGAATAATTTCCCATAACTAAACACAAACACTCTGAGAAAGTTCTTCATGATGAATGCATTTAACTCGCAGAGATGAACCTGCCTTTGAGAGTTCAGGTTCGAAACACTCTTTCTGTAGAATCTGCAAGTGGATATTTGGACCACTGGGTGGCCTTCGTTCGAAACGGGTATATGTTCACGTAAAAGCTAAAGAGAAGCATTCTCAGAAACTTGTGAGTGATGATTGCATTCAAGTCACACAGTTGAACCCTCCTTTTGATGGAGCAGTTTTGAAACTGTCTTTTTGTAGAATCTGTAAGTGGATACGTGGACCTCTTTGAAGATTTCTTTGGAAACGGGAATATTTCCACAGAAAAACTAAACTGAAGCATTCTCAGAAACCGCTTTGTGATGTTTGTGTTCGAGCCGCAGAGTTTAACATTGCTTTTCATAGAGCAGTTTTGAAATATTCTTTTGGCAGAATCTGCAAGTGGACATTTGGAGCGCTTTCAGGCCTGTGGTGGAAAAGGCCTGAAAGCCTTTTCCTTTATCTTCACAGAAAGACGAGAGAGAAGCATTGTCAGAAACTTCTTTGTGATGATTGCATTCAACTCACAGAGTTGAAGATTCCTTTTGAAACAGCAGTTTCGAAACTCTCTTTCTGTGGGATCCGCAAGGGGATATTTGGACCTCTTTGAAGGTTTCGTTGGAAACGGGATAATCTTCACCTAAAAGCTAAACGGAAGCATTCTCAGAAACTTCTTTGGGATGTTTGCATTCACCTCACAGAGTTGAACTTTCCCTTTGATAGCGCAGCTTTGACACACGTTTTCTACAATGTGCAAGTGGCTATTTAGCGGGCTTGGAGGACTGTGTTGGAAAAGGAAATATCTTCTCCTAAAAACGACATAGAAGCATTCTCAGAAACTGCTCTGTGATGATTGCATTCAACTCCCAGAGTTGAACATTCCTTTTGATAGAGCAGTTTGCAAACACTCTTTTTGTAGAATCTGCAAGTGGAGATTTGGACCGCTTTGAGGCCTGTGGTAGTGAAGGAAAGAACTTCATATAAAAACCAGACGGTAGCACTCTCAGAAAATTCTTTGTGACGATGGAGTTTAACTCAGGGAGCTGAACATTCGTTATGATGGAGCAGTTTCCAAACACACGTTTTGTAGAATCTGCAAGGGGATATTTGGACCTCTCTGAGGATTTCGTTGGAAACGGGATCAACTTCCCATAACTGAACGGAAGCAAACTCAGAACATTCTTTGTGATGTTTGTATTCAACTCACAGAGTTGAACCTTCCTTTGATAGTTCAGGTTTGCAACACCCTTGTAGTAGAATCTGCAAGTGTATATTTTGACCACTTTGTAGCCTTCATTTGAAACGTCTATATCTTCACATCAAACCTAGACAGAAGCATTCTCAGAAAGTTTTCTGCGATGACTGCATTCAACTCACAGAGTTGAACAATCCTTCTGATGGAGCAGTTTTGAAACCCTCTTTCTTTGGAATCTGCAAGGGGATATGTGGACCTCTTTGAAGATTTCACTGGAAACGGGATCATCTTCACATAAAAACTAAACAGAAGCATTCTCGGAAACTACTTTGTGATGTTTGTATTCAACTCCCAGAGTTGAACTTTCCTTTTGAAAGAGCAGCTATGAAACACTCTTTTTCGAGAATCTGCAAGTGGACGTTTGGAAGGCTTTGAGGCCTGTGGTGGAAAAGGAAATATCTTCACATAAAAACTAGATAGAAGCATTCTCAGAAACTACTTCGTGAGGATGGCTTTCAACTCATGGAGTTGAACAATCCTATTGATACAGCAGATTGGAATCACTCTTTTTGTAGAATCTGCAAATGGAGATTTGGACTGCTTTGAGGCCTACGGTCGTATAGGAAGGAACTTCATATAAAAGGCAAACGGAAGCATTCTCAGAATATTCTTTGTGATGATGGAGTTTCACTCACAGAGCTGAACATGCCTTTTGATGGAGCAGTTTCCAAATACACTTTTGGTAGAATCTGCAGGTGGATATTTGGACCACTCTGAGGATTTCGTTGGAAACGGGAATAATTTCCCATAACTAAGCACAAACACTCTGAGAAAGTTCTTCATGATGAATGCATTTAACTCGCAGAGATGAACCTGCCTTTGAGAGTTCAGGTTCGAAACACTCTTTCTGTAGAATCTGCAAGTGGATATTTGGACCACTGGGTGGCCTTCGTTCGAAACGGGTATATGTTCACGTAAAAACTAAAGAGAAGCATTCTCAGAAACTTCTGAGTGATGATTGCATTCAAGTCACACAGTTGAACCCTCCTTTTGATGGAGCAGTTTTGAAACTGTCTTTTTGTAGAATCTGTAAGTGGATACGTGGACCTCTTTGAAGATTTCTTTGGAAACGGGAATATTTCCACAGAAAAACTAAACTGAAGCATTCTCAGAAACTGCTTTGTGATGTTTGTGTTCGAGCCACAGAGTTTAACATTGCTTTTCATAGAGCAGTTTTGAAATATTCTTTTGGCAGAATCTGCAAGTGGACATTTGGAGCGCTTTCAGGCCTGTGGTGGCAAAGGCCTGAAAGCCTTTTCCTTTATCTTCACAGAAAGACGAGAGAGAAGCATTGTCAGAAACTTCTTTGTGATGATTGCATTCAACTCACAGAGTTGAAGATTCCTTTTGAAACAGCAGTTTCGAAACACTCTTTCTGTGGGATCCGCAAGGGGATATTTGGACCTCTTTGAAGGTTTCGTTGGAAACGGGATAATCTTCACCTAAAAGCTAAACGGAAGCATTCTCAGAAACTTCTTTGGGATGTTTGCATTCACCTCACAGAGTTGAACTTTCCCTTTGATAGCGCAGCTTCGACACACTTTTTCTACAATGTGCAAGTGGCTATTTAGCGGGCTTGGAGGACTGTGTTGGAAAAGGAAATATCTTCTCCTAAAAACGACATAGAAGCATTCTCAGAAACTGCTCTGTGATGATTGCATTCAACTCCCAGAGTTGAACATTCCTTTTGATAGAGCAGTTTGCAAACACTCTTTTTGTAGAATCTGCAAGTGGAGATTTGGACCGCTTTGAGGCCTGTGGTAGTGAAGGAAAGAACTTCATATAAAAACCAGACGGTAGCACTCTCAGAAAATTCTTTGTGACGATGGAGTTTAACTCAGGGAGCTGAACATTCGTTATGATGGAGCAGTTTCCAAACACACGTTTTGTAGAATCTGCAAGGGGATATTTGGACCTCTCTGAGGATTTCGTTGGAAACGGGATCAACTTCCCATAACTGAACGGAAGCAAACTCAGAACATTCTTTGTGATGTTTGTATTCAACTCACAGAGTTGAACCTTCCTTTGATAGTTCAGGTTTGCAACACCCTTGTAGTAGAATCTGCAAGTGTATATTTTGACCACTTTGTAGCCTTCGTTTGAAACGTCTATATCTTCACATCAAACCTAGACAGAAGCATTCTCAGAAAGTTTTCTGCGATGACTGCATTCAACTCACAGAGTTGAACAATCCTCTGATGGAGCAGTTTTGAAACCCTCTTTCTTTGGAATCTGCAAGGGGATATGTGGACCTCTTTGAAGATTTCACTGGAAACGGGATCATCTTCACATAAAAACTAAACAGAAGCATTCTCGGAAACTATTTTGTGATGTTTGTATTCAACTCCCAGAGTTGAACTTTCCTTTTGAAAGAGCAGCTATGAAACACTCTTTTTCGAGAATCTGCAAGTGGACGTTTGGAGGGCTTTGAGGCCTGTGGTGGAAAAGGAAATATCTTCACACAAAAACCAGATAGAAGCATTCTCAGAAACTACTTTGTGAGGATGGCATTCAACTCATGGAGTTGAACAATCCTATTGATAGAGCAGATTGGAATCACTCTTTTTATAGAATCTGCAAATGGAGATTTGGACTGCTTTGAGGCCTACGGTAGTACAGGAAGGAACTTCATATAAAAGGCAAACGGAAGCATTCTCAGAATATTCTTTGTGATGATGGAGTTTCACTCACAGAGCTGAACATGCCTTTTGATGGAGCAGTTTCCAAATACACTTTTGGTAGAATCTGCAGGTGGATATTTGGAGCTCTCTGAGGATTTCGTTGGAAACGGGAATAATTTCCCATAACTAAACACAAACACTCTGAGAAAGTTCTTCATGATGAATGCATTTAACTCGCAGAGATGAACCTGCCTTTGAGAGTTCAGGTTCGAAACACTCTTTCTGTAGAATCTGCAAGTGGATATTTGGACCACTGGCTGGCCTTCGTTCGAAACGGGTATATGTTCACGTAAAAACTAAAGAGAAGCGTTCTCAGAAACTTCTGAGTGATGATTGCATTCAAGTCACACAGTTGAACCCTCCTTTTGATTGAGCAGTTTTGAAACTGTCTTTTTGTAGAATCTGTAAGTGGATGCGTGGACCTCTTTGAAGATTTCTTTGGAAACGGGAATATTTCCACAGAAAAACTAAACTGAAGCATTCTCAGAAACTGCTTTGTGATGTTTGTGTTCGAGCCACAGAGTTTAACATTGCTTTTCATAGAGCAGTTTTGAAATATTCTTTTGGCAGAATCTGCAAGTGGACATTTGGAGCGCTTTCAGGCCTGTGGTGGAAAAGGCCTGAAAGCCTTTTCCTTTATCTTCACAGAAAGACGAGAGAGAAGCATTGTCAGAAACTTCTTTGTGATGATTGCATTCAACTCACAGAGTTGAAGATTCCTTTTGAAACAGCAGTTTCGAAACACTCTTTCTGTGGGATCCGCAAGGGGATATTTGGACCTCTTTGAAGATTTCGTTGGAAACGGGATAATCTTCACCTAAAAGCTAAACGGAAGCATTCTCAGAAACTTCTTTGGGAAGTTTGCATTCACCTCACAGAGTTGAATTTTCCCTTTGATAGCGCAGCTTCGACACACTTTTTCTACAATGTGCAAGTGGATATTTAGCGGGCTTGGAGGACTGTGTTGGAAAAGGAAATATCTTCTCCTAAAAACGACATAGAAGCATTCTCAGAAACTGCTCTGTGATGATTGCATTCAACTCCCAGAGTTGAACATTCCTTTTGATAGAGCAGTTTGCAAACACTCTTTTTGTAGAATCTGCAAGTGGAGATTTGGACCGCTTTGAGGCCTGTGGTAGTAAAGGAAAGAACTTCATATAAAAACTAGACGGTAGCACTCTCAGAAAATTCTTTGTGACGATGGAGTTTAACTCAGAGAGCTGAACATTCGTTATGATGGAGCAGTTTCCAAACACACGTTTTGTAGAATCTGCAAGGGGATATTTGGACCTCTCTGAGGATTTCGTTGGAAACGGGATCAACTTCCCATAACTGAACGGAAGCAAACTCAGAACATTCTTTGTGATGTTTGTATTCAACTCACAGAGTTGAACCTTCCTTTGATAGTTCAGGTTTGCATCACCCTTGTAGTAGAATCTGCAAGTGTATATTTTGACCACTTTGTAGCCTTCGTTTGAAACGTCTATATGCTTCACATCAAACCTAGACAGAAGCATTCTCAGAAAGTTTTCTGCGATGACTGCATTCAACTCACAGAGTTGAACAATCCTTTTGATGGAGCAGTTTTGAAACCCTCTTTCTTTGGAATCTGCAAGAGGATATGTGGACCTCTTTGAAGATTTCACTGGAAACGGGATCATCTTCACATAAAAACTAAACAGAAGCATTCTCGGAAACTATTTTGTGATGTTTGTATTCAACTCCCAGAGTTGAACTTTCCTTTTGAAAGAGCAGCTATGAAACACTCTTTTTCTAGAATCTGCAAGTGGACGTTTGGAGGGCTTTGAGGCCTGTGGTGGAAAAGGAAATATCTTCACACAAAAACCAGATAGAAGCATTCTCAGAAACTACTTTGTGAGGATGGCATTCAACTCATGGAGTTGAACAATCCTATTGATAGAGCAGATTGGAATCACTCTTTTTGTAGAATCTGCAAATGGAGATTTGGACTGCTTTGAGGCCTACGGTAGTACAGGAAGGAACTTCATATAAAAGGCAAACGGAAGCATTCTCAGAATATTCTTTGTGATGATGGAGTTTCACTCACAGAGCTGAACATGCCTTTTGATGGAGCAGTTTCCAAATACACTTTTGGTAGAATCTGCAGGTGGATATTTGGAGCTCTCTGAGGATTTCGTTGGAAACGGGAATAATTTCCCATAACTAAACACAAACACTCTGAGAAAGTTCTTCATGATGAATGCATTTAACTCGCAGAGATGAACCTGCCTTTGAGAGTTCAGGTTCGAAACACTCTTTCTGTAGAATCTGCAAGTGGATATTTGGACCACTGGGTGGCCTTCGTTCGAAACGGGTATATGTTCACGTAAAAACTAAAGAGAAGCATTCTCAGAAACTTCTGAGTGATGATTGCATTCAAGTCACACAGTTGAATCCTCCTTTTGATGGAGCAGTTTTGAAACTGTCTTTTTGTAGAATCTGTAAGTGGATACGTGGACCTCTTTGAAGATTTCTTTGGAAACGGGAATATTTCCACAGAAAAACTAAACTGAAACATTCTCAGAAACCGCTTTGTGATGTTTGTGTTCCAGCCACAGAGTTTAACATTGCTTTTCATAGAGCAGTTTTGAAATATTCTTTTCGCAGAATCTGCAAGTGGACATTTGGAGCGCTTTCAGGCCTGTGGTGGAAAAGGCCTGAAAGCCTTTTCCTTTATCTTCACAGAAAGACGAGAGAGAAGTATTGTCAGAAACTTCTTTGTGATGATTGCATTCAACTCACAGAGTTGAAGATTCCTTTTGAAACAGCAGTTTCGAAACACTCTTTCTGTGGGATCCGCAAGGGGATATTTGGACCTCTTTGAAGGTTTCGTTGGAAACGGGATAATCTTCACCTAAAAGCTAAACGGAAGCATTCTCAGAAACTTCTTTGGGATGTTTGCATTCACCTCACAGAGTTGAACTTTCCCTTTGATAGCGCAGCTTTGACACACTTTTTCTACAATGTGCAAGTGGCTATTTAGCGGGCTTGGAGGACTGTGTTGGAAAAGGAAATATCTTCTCCTAAAAACGACATAGAAGCATTCTCAGAAACTGCTCTGTGACGATTGCATTCAACTCCCAGAGTTGAACATTCCTTTTGATAGAGCAGTTTGCAAACACTCTTTTTGTAGAATCTGCAAGTGGAGATTTGGACCGCTTTGAGGCCTGTGGTAGTGAAGGAAAGAAATTCATATAAAAACCAGACGGTAGCACTCTCAGAAAATTCTTTGTGACGATGGAGTTTAACTCAGGGAGCTGAACATTCGTTATGATGGAGCAGTTTCCAAACACACGTTTTGTAGAATCTGCAAGGGGATATTTGGACCTCTCTGAGGATTTCGTTGGAAACGGGATCAACTTCCCATAACTGAACGGAAGCAAACTCAGAACATTCTTTGTGATGTTTGTATTCAACTCACAGAGTTGAACCTTCCTTTGATAGTTCAGGTTTGCAACACCCTTGTAGTAGAATCTGCAAGTGTATATTTTGACCACTTTGTAGCCTTCGTTTGAAACGTCTATATCTTCACATCAAACCTAGACAGAAGCATTCTCAGAAAGTTTTCTGCGATGACTGCATTCAACTCACAGAGTTGAACAATCCTTCTGATGGAGCAGTTTTGAAACCCTCTTTCTTTGGAATCTGCAAGGGGATATGTGGACCTCTTTGAAGATTTCACTGGAAACGGGATCATCTTCACATAAAAACTAAACAGAAGCATTCTCGGAAACTACTTTGTGATGTTTGTATTCAACTCCCAGAGTTGAACTTTCCTTTTGAAAGAGCAGCTATGAAACACTCTTTTTCGAGAATCTGCAAGTGGACGTTTGGAGGGCTTTGAGGCCTGTGGTGGAAAAGGAAATATCTTCACATAAAAACTAGATAGAAGCATTCTCAGAAACGACTTTGTGAGGATGGCATTCAACTCATGGAGTTGAACAATCCTATTGATAGAGCAGATTGGAATCACTCTTTTTGTAGAATCTGCAAATGGAGATTTGGACTGCTTTGAGGCCTACGGTAGTATAGGAAGGAACTTCATATAAAAGGCAAACGGAAGCATTCTCAGAATATTCTTTGTGATGATGGAGTTTCACTCACAGAGCTGAACATGCCTTTTGATGGAGCAGTTTCCAAATACACTTTTGGTAGAATCTGCAGGTGGATATTTGGACCTCTCGGAGGATTTCGTTGGAAACGGGAATAATTTCCCATAACTAAACACAAACACTCTGAGAAAGTTCTTCATGATGAATGCATTTAACTCGCAGAGATGAACCTGCCTTTGAGAGTTCAGGTTCCAAACACTCTTTCTGTAGAATCTGCAAGTGGATATTTGGACCACTGGGTGGCCTTCGTTCGAAACGGGTATATGTTCACGTAAAAACTAAAGAGAAGCATTCTCAGAAACTTCTGAGTGATGATTGCATTCAAGTCACACAGTTGAACCCGCCTTTTGATTGAGCAGCTTTGAAACTGTCTTTTTGTAGAATCTGGAAGTGGATACGTGGACCTCTTTGAAGATTTCTTTGGAAATGGGAATATTTCCACAGAAAAACTAAACTGAAGCATTCTCAGAAACTGCGTTGTGATGTTGGTGTTCGAGCCGCAGAGTTTAACATTGCTTTTCATAGAGCAGTTTTGAAATATTCTTTTGGCAGAATCTGCAAGTGGACATTTGGAGCGCTTTCAGGCCTGTGGTGGAAAAGGCCTGAAAGCCTTTTCCTTTATCTTCACAGAAAGACGAGAGAGAAGCATTGTCAGAAACTTCTTTGTGATGATTGCAGTCAACTCACAGAGTTGTAGATTCCTTTTGAAACAGCAGTTTCGAAACACTCTTTCTGTGGGATCCGCAAGGGGATATTTGGACCTCTTTGAAGATTTCGTTGGAAACGGGATAATCTTCACCTAAAAGCTAAACGGAAGCATTCTCAGAAACTTCTTTGGGATGTTTGCATTCACCTCACAGAGTTGAACTTTCCCTTTGATAGCGCAGCTTCGACACACTTTTTCTGCAATGTGCAAGTGGATATTTAGTGGGCTTGGAGGACTGTGGTGGAAAAGGAAATATCTTCTCCTAAAAACGACATAGAAGCATTCTCAAGAACTGCTCTGTGATGATTGCATTCAACTCCCAGAGTTGAACATTCCTTTTGATAGAGCAGTTTGCAAACACTCTTTTTGTAGAATCTGCAAGTGGAGATTTGGACCGCTTTGAGGCCTGTGGTAGTAAAGGAAAGAACTTCATATAAAAACTAGACGGTAGCACTCTCAGAAAATTCTTTGTGACGATGGAGTTTAACTCAGAGAGCTGAACATTCGTTATGATGGAGCAGTTTCCAAACACACGTTTTGCAGAATCTGCAAGGGGATATTTGGACCTCTCTGAGGATTTCGTTGGAAACGGGATCAACTTCCCATAACTGAACGGAAGCAAACTCAGAACATTCTTTGTGATGTTTGTATTCAACTCACAGAGTTGAACCTTCCTTTGATAGTTCAGGTTTGCAACAGCCTTGTAGTAGAATCTGCAAGTGTATATTTTGACCACTTTGTAACCTTCGTTTAAAACGTCTATATCTTCACATCAAACCTAGACAGAAGCATTCTCAGAAAGTTTTCTGCGATGACTGCATTCAACTCACAGAGTTGAACAATCCTTTTGATGGAGCAGTTTTGAAACCCTCTTTCTTTGGAATCTGCAAGGGGATATGTGGACCTCTTTGAAGATTTCACTGGAAACGGGATCATCTTCACATAAGAACTAAACAGAAGCATTCTCGGAAACTACTTTGTGATGTTTGTATTCACCTCCCAGAGTTGAACTTTCCTTTTGAAAGAGCAGCTATGAAACACTCTTTTTCGAGAATCTGCAAGTGGACGTTTGGAGGGCTTTGAGGCCTGTGGTGGAAAAGGAAATATCTTCACATAAAAACTAGATAGAAGCATTCTCAGAAACTACTTTGTGAGGACGGCATTCAACTCATGGAGTTGAACAGTCCTATTGATAGAGCAGATTGGAATCACTCTTTTTGTAGAATCTGCAAATGGAGATTTGCACTGCTTTGAGGCCTACGGTAGTATAGGAAGGAACTTCATATAAAAGGCAAACGGAAGCATTCTCAGAATATTCTTTGTGATGATGGAGTTTCACTCACAGGGCTGAACATGCCTTTTGATGGAGCAGTTTCCAAATACACTTTTGGTAGAATCTGCAGGTGGATATTTGGAGCTCTCTGAGGATTTCGTTGGAAACGGGAATAATTTCCCATAACTAAACACAAACACGCTGAGAAAGTTCTTCATGATGAATGCATTTAACTCGCAGAGATGAACCTGCCTTTGAGAGTTCAGGTTCGAAACACTCTTTCTGTAGAATCTGCAAGTGGATATTTGGACCACTGGCTGGCCTTCGTTCGAAACGGGTATATGTTCACGTAAAAACTAAAGAGAAGCGTTCTCAGAAACTTCTGAGTGATGATTGCATTCAAGTCACACAGTTGAACCCTCCTTTTGATTGAGCAGTTTTGAAACTGTCTTTTTGTAGAATCTGTAAGTGGATGCGTGGACCTCTTTGAAGATTTCTTTGGAAACGGGAATATTTCCACAGAAAAACTAAACTGAAGCATTCTCAGAAACTGCTTTGTGATCTTTGTGTTCGAGCCACAGAGTTTAACATTGCTTTTCATAGAGCAGTTTTGAAATATTCTTTTGGCAGAATCTGCAAGTGGACATTTGGAGCCCTTTCAGGCCTGTGGTGGAAAAGGCCTGAAAGCCTTTTCCTTAATCTTCACAGAAAGACGAGAGAGAAGCATTGTCAGAAACTTCTTTGTGATGATTGCATTCAACTCACAGAGTTGAAGATTCCTTTTGAAACAGCAGTTTCGAAACACTCTTTCTGTGGGATCCGCAGGGGGATATTTGGACCTCTTTGAAGATTTCGTTGGAAACGGGATAATCTTCACCTAAAAGCTAAACGGAAGCATTCTCAGAAACTTCTTTGGGATGTTTGCATTCACCTCACAGAGTTGAACTTTCCCTTTGATAGCGCAGCTTCGACACACTTTTTCTACAATGTGCAAGTGGATATTTAGCGGGCTTGGAGGACTGTGTTGGAAAAGGAAATATCTTCTCCTAAAAACGACATAGAAGCATTCTCAGAAACTGCTCTGTGATGATTGCTTTCAACTCCCAGAGTTGAACATTCCTTTTGATAGAGCAGTTTGCAAACACTCTTTTTGTAGAATCTGCAAGTGGAGATTTGGACCGCTTTGAGGCCTGTGGTAGTAAAGGAAACAACTTCATATAAAAACCAGAGGGTAGCACTCTCAGAAAATTCTTTGTGACGATGGAGTTTAACTCAGAGAGCTGAACATTCGTTATGATGGAGCAGTTTCCAAACACACGTTTTGTAGAATCTGCAAGGGGATATTTGGACCTCTCTGAGGATTTCGTTGGAAACGGGATCAACTTCCCATAACTGAACGGAAGCAAACTCAGAACATTCTTTGTGATGTTTGCATTCATCTCACAGAGTTGAACCTTCCTTTGATAGTTGAGGTTTGCAACACCCTTGTAGTAGAATCTGCAAGTGTATATGTTGACCACTTTGTAGCCTTCGTTTGAAACGTCAATATCTTCACCTCAAACCTAGACAGAAGCATTCTCAGAAAGTTTTCTGCGATGACTGCATTCAACTCACAGAGTTGAACAATCCTTTTGATGGAGCAGTTTTGAAACCCTCTTTCTTTGGAATCTGCAAGGGGATATGTGGACCTCTTTGAAGATTTCACTGGAAACGGGATCATCTTCACATAAGAACTAAACAGAAGCATTCTCGGAAACTACTTTGTGATGTTTGTATTCAACTCCCAGAGTTGAACTTTCCTTTTGAAAGAGCAGCTATGAAACACTCTTTTTCGAGAATCTGCAAGTGGACGTTTGGAGGGCTTTGAGGCCTGTGGTGGAAAAGGAAATATCTTCACATAAAAACTAGATAGAAGCATTCTCAGAAACGACTTTGTGAGGATGGCATTCAACTCATGGAGTTGAACAATCCTATTGATAGAGCAGATTGGAATCACTCTTTTGGTAGAATCTGCAAATGGAGATTTGGACTGCTTTGAGGCCTACGGTAGTATAGGAAGGAACTTCATATAAAAGGCAAACGGAAGCATTCTCAGAATATTCTTTGTGATGATGGAGTTTCACTCACAGAGCTGAACATGCCTTTTGATGGAGCAGTTTCCAAATACACTTTTGGTAGAATCTGCAGGTGGATATTTGGACCTCTCTGAGGATTTCGTTGGAAACGGGAATAATTTCCCATACCTAAACACAAACACTCTGAGAAAGTTCTTCATGATGAATGCATTGAACTCGCAGAGATGAACCTGCCTTTGAGAGTTCAGGTTCGAAACACTCTTTCTGTAGAATCTGCAAGTGGATATTTGGACCACTGGCTGGCCTTCGTTCGAAACGGGTATATGTTCACGTAAAAACTAAAGAGAAGCATTCTCAGAAACTTCTGAGTGATGATTGCATTCAAGTCACACGGTTGAACCCTCCTTTTGATTGAGCAGTTTTGAAACTGTCTTTTTGTAGAATCTGTAAGAGGACACGTGGACATCTTTGAAGATTTCTTTGGAAACGGGAATATTTCCACAGAAAAACTAAACTGAAGCATTCTCAGAAACTGCTTTGTGATGTTTGTGTTCGAGCCGCAGAGTTTAACATTGCTTTTCATAGAGCAGTTTTCAAATATTCTTTTGGCAGAATCTGCAAGTGGACATTTGGAGCGCTTTCAGGCCTGTGGTGGAAAAGGCCTGAAAGCCTTTTCCTTTATCTTCACAGAAAGACGAGAGAGAAGCATTGTCAGAAACTTCTTTGTGAAGATTGCATTCAACTCACAGAGTTGAAGATTCCTTTTGAAACAGCAGTTTCGAAACACTCTTTCTGTGGGATCTGCAAGGGGATATTTGGACCTCTTTGAAGATTTCGTTGGAAACAGGATAATCTTCACCTAAAAGCTAAACGGAAGCATTCTCAGAAACTTCTTTGGGATGTTTGCATTCACCTCACAGAGTTGAACTTTCCCTTTGATAGCGCAGCTTCGACACACTTTTTCTACAATGTGCAAGTGGATATTTAGCGGGCTTGGAGGACTGTGTTGGAAAAGGAAATATCTTCTCCTAAAAACGACATAGAAGCATTCTCAGAAACTGCTCTGTGATGATTGCATTCAACTCCCAGAGTTGAACATTCCTTTTGATAGAGCAGTTTGCAAACACTGTTTTTGTAGAATCTGCAAGTGGAGACTTGGATCGCTTTGAGGCCTGTGGTAGTAAAGGAAAGAACTTCATATAAAAACCAGACGGTAGCACTCTCAGAAAATTCTTTGTGACGATGGAGTTTAACTCAGAGAGCTGAACATTCGTTATGATGGAGCAGTTTCCAAACACACGTTTTGTAGAATCTGCAAGGGGATATTTGGAACTCTCTGAGGATTTCGTTGGAAACGGGATCAACTTCCCATAACTGAACGGAAGCAAACTCAGAACATTCTTTGTGATGTTTGTATTCAACTCACAGAGTTGAACCTTCCTTTGATAGTTCAGGTTTGCAACACCCTTGTAGTAGAATCTGCAAGTGTATATTTTGACCACTTTGTAGCCTTCGTTTGAAACGTCTATATCTTCACCTCAAACCTAGACAGAAGCATTCTCAGAAAGTTTTCTGCGATGACAGCATTCAACTCACAGAGTTGAACAATCCTTTTGATGGAGCAGTTTTGAATCCCTCTTTCTTTGGAATCTGCAAGGGGATATGTGGACCTCTTTGAAGATTTCACTGGAAACGGGATCATCTTCACATAAGAACTAAACAGAAGCATTCTCGGAAACTACTTTGTGATGTTTGTATTCAACTCGCAGAGTTGAACTTTCCTTTTGAAAGAGCAGCTATGAAACACTCTTTTTCGAGAATCTGCAAGTGGACGTTTGGAGGGCTTTGAGGCCTGTGGTGGAAAAGGAAATATCTTCACATAAAAACTAGATAGAAGCATTCTCAGAAACGACTTTGTGAGGATGGCATTCAACTCATGGAGTTGAACAATCCTATTGATAGAGCAGATTGGAATCACTCTTTTTGTAGAATCTGCAAATGGAGATTTGGACTGCTTTGAGGCCTACGGTAGTATAGGAAGGTACTTCATATAAAAGGCAAACGGAAGCATTCTCAGAATATTCTTTGTGACGATGGAGTTTCACTCACAGAGCTGAACATGCCTTTTGATGGAGCAGTTTCCAAATACACTTTTGGTAGAATCTGCAGGTGGATATTTGGACCTCTCTGCGGATTTCTTTGGTAACGGGAATAATTTCCCATAACTAAACACAAACACGCTGAGAAAGTTCTTCATGATGAATGCATTTAACTCGCAGAGATGAACCTGCCTTTGAGAGTTCAGGTTCGAAACACTCTTTCTGTAGAATCTGCAAGTGGATATTTGGACCACTGTGTGGCCTTCGTTCGAAACGGGTATATGTTCACGTAAAAACTAAAGAGAAGCATTCTCAGAAACTTCTGAGTGATGATTGCATTCAAGTCACACGGTTGAACCCTCCTTTTGATTGAGCAGTTTTGAAACTGTCTTTTTGTAGAATCTGTAAGTGGATACGTGGACCTCTTTGAAGATTTCTTTGGAAACGGGAATATTTCCACAGAAAAACTAAACTGAAGCATTCTCAGAAACTGCTTTGTGATGTTTGTGTTCGAGCCACAGAGTTTAACATTGCTTTTCATAGAACAGTTTTGAAATATTCTTTTGGCAGAATCTGCAAGTGGACATTTGGAGCGCTTTCAGGCCTGTGGTGGAAAAGGCCTGAAAGCCTTTTCCTTTCTCTTCACAGAAAGACGAGAGAGAAGCATTGTCAGAAACTTCTTTGTGATGATTGCATTCAACTCACAGAGTTGAAGATTCCTTTTGAAACAGCAGTTTCGAAACACTCTTTCTGTGGGATCCGCAAGGGGATATTTGGACCTCTTTGAAGATTTCGTTGGAAACGGGATAATCTTCACCTAAAAGCTAAACGGAAGCATTCTCAGAAACTTCTTTGGGATGTTTGCATTCACCTCACAGAGTTGAACTTTCCCTTTGATAGCGCAGCTTCGACACACTTTTTCTACAATGTGCAAGTGGATATTTAGCGGGCTTGGAGGACTGTGTTGGAAAAGGAAATATCTTCTCCTAAAAACGACATAGAAGCATTCTCAGAAACTGCTCTGTGATGATTGCATTCAACTCCCAGAGTTGAACATTCCTTTTGATAGAGCAGTTTGCAGACACTCTTTTTGTAGAATCTGCAAGTGGAGATTTGGACCGCTTTGAGGCCTGTGGTAGTAAAGGAAAGAACTTCATATAAAATCTAGACGGTAGCACTCTCAGAAAATTCTTTGTGACGATGGAGTTTAACTCAGAGAGCTGAACATTCGTTATGATGGAGCAGTTTCCAAACACACGTTTTGCAGAATCTGCAAGGGGATATTTGGACCTCTCTGAGGATTTCGTTGGAAACGGGATCAACTTCCCATAACTGAACGGAAGCAAACTCAGAACATTCTTTGTGATGTTTGTATTCAACTCACAGAGTTGAACCTTCCTTTGAGAGTTCAGGTTTGCAACACCCTTGTAGTAGAATCTGCAAGTGTATATTTTGACCACTTTGTAGCCTTCGTTTGAAACGTCTATATCTTCACATCAAACCTAGACAGAAGCATTCTCAGAAAGTTTTCTGCGATGACTGCATTCAACTCACAGAGTTGAACAATCCTTTTGATGGAGCAGTGTTGAAACCCTCTTTCTTTGGAATCTGCAAGGGGATATGTGGACCTCATTGAAGATTTCACTGGAAACGGGATCATCTTCACATAAGAACTAAACAGAAGCATTCTCGGAAACTACTTTGTGATGTTTGTATTCAACTCCCAGAGTTGAACTTTCCTTTTGAAAGAGCAGCTATGAAACACTCTTTTTCGAGAATCTGCAAGCGGACGTTTGGAGGGCTTTGAGGCCTGTGGTGGAAAAGGAAATATCTTCACATAAAAACTAGATAGAAGCATTCTCAGAAACGACTTTGTGAGGATGGCATTCAACTCATGGAGTTGAACAATCCTATTGATAGAGCAGATTGGAATCACTCTTTTTGTAGAATCTGCAAATGGAGATTTGGACTGCTTTGGGGCCTACGGTCGTATAGGAAGGAACTTCATATAAAAGGCAAACGGAAGCATTCTCAGAATATTCTTTGTGATGATGGAGTTTCACTCACAGAGCTGAACATGCCTTTTGATGGAGCAGTTTCCAAATACACTTTTGGTAGAATCTGCAGGTGGATATTTGGAGCTCTCTGAGGATTTCGTTGGAAACGGGAATAATTTCCCATAACTAAACACAAACACTCTGAGAAAGTTCTTCATGATGAATGCATTTAACTCGCAGAGATGAACCTGCCTTTGAGAGTTCAGGTTCGAAACACTCTTTCTGTAGAATCTGCAAGTGGATATTTGGACCACTGGCTGGCCTTCGTTCGAAACGGGTATATGTTCACGTAAAAACTAAAGAGAAGCATTCTCAGAAACTTCTGAGTGATGATTGCATTCAAGTCACACAGTTGAACCCTCCTTTTGATGGAGCAGTTTTGAAACTGTCTTTTTGTAGAATCTGTAAGTGGATACGTGGACCTCTTTGAAGATTTCTTTGGAAACGGGAATATTTCCACAGAAAAACTAAACTGAAGCATTCTCAGAAACCGCTTTGTGATGTTTGTGTTCGAGCCACAGAGTTTAACATTGCTTTTCATAGAGCAGTTTTGAAATATTCTTTTGGCAGAATCTGCAAGTGGACATTTGGAGCGCTTTCAGGCCTGTGGTGGAAAAGGCCTGAAAGCCTTTTCCTTTATCTTCACAGAAAGACGAGAGAGAAGCATTGTCAGAAACTTCTTTGTGATGATTGCATTCAACTCACAGAGTTGAAGATTCCTTTTGAAACAGCAGTTTCGAAACACTCTTTCTGTGGGATCCGCAAGGGGATATTTGGACCTCTTTGAAGCTTTCGTTGGAAACGGGATAATCTTCACCTAAAAGCTAAACGGAAGCACTCTCAGAAACTTCTTTGGGATGTTTGCATTCACCTCACAGAGTTGAACTTTCCCTTTGATAGCGCAGCTTTGACACACTTTTTTTCTACAATGTGCAAGTGGATATTTAGCGGGCGTGGAGGACTGTGTTGGAAAAGGAAATATCTTCTCCTAAAAACGACATAGAAGCATTCTCAGAAACTGCTGTGTGATGATTGCATTCAACTCCCAGGGTTGAACATTCCTTTTGATAGAGCAGTTTGCAAACACTCTTTTTGTAGAATCTGCAAGTGGAGATTTGGACCGCTTTGAGGCCTATGGTAGTAAAGGAAAGAACTTCATATAAAAACCAGACGGTAGCACTCTCAGAAAATTCTTTGTGACGATGGAGTTTAACTCAGGGAGCTGAACATTCGTTATGATGGAGCAGTTTCCAAACACACGTTTTGTAGAATCTGCAAGGGGATATTTGGACCTCTCTGAGGATTTCGCTGGAAACGGGATCAACTGCCCATAACTGAACGGAAGCAAACTCAGAACATTCTTTGTGATGTTTGTATTCAACTCACAGAGTTGAACCTTCCTTTGATAGTTCAGGTTTGCAACACCCTTGTAGTAGAATCTGCAAGTGTATATTTTGACCACTTTGTAGCCTTCGTTTGAAACGTCTATATCTTCACATCAAACCTAGACAGAAGCATTCTCAGAAAGTTTTCTGCGATGACTGCATTCAACTCACAGAGTTGAACAATCCTTTTGATGGAGCAGTTTTGAAACCCTCTTTCTTTGGAATCTGCAAGGGGATATGTGGACCTCTTTGAAGATTTCACTGGAAACGGGATCATCTTCACATAAAAACTAAACAGAAGCATTCTCGGAAACTACTTTGTGATGTTTGTATTCAACTCCCAGAGTTGAACTTTCCTTTTGAAAGAGCAGCTATGAAACACTCTTTTTCGAGAATCTGCAAGTGGACGTTTGGAGGGCTTTGAGGCCTGTGGTGGAAAAGGAAATATCTTCACATAAAAACTAGATAGAAGCATTCTCAGAAACTACTTCGTGAGGATGGCTTTCAACTCATGGAGTTGAACAATCCTATTGATACAGCAGATTGGAATCACTCTTTTTGTAGAATCTGCAAATGGAGATTTGGACTGCTTTGAGGCCTACGGTCGTATAGGAAGGAACTTCATATAAAAGGCAAACGGAAGCATTCTCAGAATATTCTTTGTGATGATGGAGTTTCACTCACAGAGCTGAACATGCCTTTTGATGGAGCAGTTTCCAAATACACTTTTGGTAGAATCTGCAGGTGGATATTTGGACCACTCTGAGGATTTCGTTGGAAACGGGAATAATTTCCCATAACTAAGCACAAACACTCTGAGAAAGTTCTTCATGATGAATGCATTTAACTCGCAGAGATGAACCTGCCTTTGAGAGTTCAGGTTCGAAACACTCTTTCTGTAGAATCTGCAAGTGGATATTTGGACCACTGGGTGGCCTTCGTTCGAAACGGGTATATGTTCACGTAAAAACTAAAGAGAAGCATTCTCAGAAACTTCTGAGTGATGATTGCATTCAAGTCACACAGTTGAACCCTCCTTTTGATGGAGCAGTTTTGAAACTGTCTTTTTGTAGAATCTGTAAGTGGATACGTGGACCTCTTTGAAGATTTCTTTGGAAACGGGAATATTTCCACAGAAAAACTAAACTGAAGCATTCTCAGAAACTGCTTTGTGATGTTTGTGTTCGAGCGACAGAGTTTAACATTGCTTTTCATAGAGCAGTTTTGAAATATTCTTTTGGCAGAATCTGCAAGTGGACATTTGGAGCGCTTTCAGGCCTGTGGTGGAAAAGGCCTGAAAGCCTTTTCCTTTATCTTCACAGAAAGACGAGAGAGAAGCATTGTCAGAAACTTCTTTGTGATGATTGCATTCAACTCACAGAGTTGAAGATTCCTTTTCAAACAGCAGTTTCGAAACACTCTTTCTGTGGGATCCGCAAGGGGATATTTGGACCTCTTTGAAGGTTTCGTTGGAAACGGGATAATCTTCACCTAAAAGCTAAACGGAAGCATTCTCAGAAACTTCTTTGGGATGTTTGCATTCACCTCACAGAGTTGAACTTTCCCTTTGATAGCGCAGCTTTGACACACTTTTTCTACAATGTGCAAGTGGCTATTTAGCGGGCTTGGAGGACTGTGTTGGAAAAGGAAATATCTTCTCCTAAAAACGACATAGAAGCATTCTCAGAAACTGCTCTGTGATGATTGCATTCAACTCCCAGAGTTGAACATTCCTTTTGATAGAGCAGTTTGCAAACACTCTTTTTGTAGAATCTGCAAGTGGAGATTTGGACCGCTTTGAGGCCTGTGGTAGTGAAGGAAAGAACTTCATATAAAAACCAGACGGTAGCACTCTCAGAAAATTCTTTGTGACGATGGAGTTTAACTCAGGGAGCTGAACATTCGTTATGATGGAGCAGTTTCCAAACACACGTTTTGTAGAATCTGCAAGGGGATATTTGGACCTCTCTGAGGATTTCGTTGGAAACGGGATCAACTTCCCATAACTGAACGGAAGCAAACTCAGAACATTCTTTGTGATGTTTGTATTCAACTCACAGAGTTGAACCTTCCTTTGATAGTTCAGGTTTGCAACACCCTTGTAGTAGAATCTGCAAGTGTATATTTTGATCACTTTGTAGCCTTCGTTTGAAACGTCTATATCTTCACATCAAACCTAGACAGAAGCATTCTCAGAAAGTTTTCTGCGATGACTGCATTCAACTCACAGAGTTGAACAATCCTTTTGATGGAGCAGTTTTGAAACCCTCTTTCTTTGGAATCTGCAAGGGGATATGTGGACCTCTTTGAAGATTTCACTGGAAACGGGATCATCTTCACATAAAAACTAAACAGAAGCATTCTCGGAAACTATTTTGTGATGTTTGTATTCAACTCCCAGAGTTGAACTTTCCTTTTGAAAGAGCAGCTATGAAACACTCTTTTTCGAGAATCTGCAAGTGGACGTTTGGAGGGCTTTGAGGCCTGTGGTGGAAAAGGAAATATCTTCACACAAAAACCAGATAGAAGCATTCTCAGAAACTACTTTGTGAGGATGGCATTCAACTCATGGAGTTGAACAATCCTATTGATAGAGCAGATTGGAATCACTCTTTTTGTAGAATCTGCAAATGGAGATTTGGACTGCTTTGAGGCCTACGGTAGTACAGGAAGGAACTTCATATAAAAGGCAAACGGAAGCATTCTCAGAATATTCTTTGTGATGATGGAGTTTCACTCACAGAGCTGAACATGCCTTTTGATGGAGCAGTTTCCAAATACACTTTTGGTAGAATCTGCAGGTGGATATTTGGAGCTCTCTGAGGATTTCGTTGGAAACGGGAATAATTTCCCATAACTAAACACAAACACTCTGAGAAAGTTCTTCATGATTAATGCATTTAACTCGCAGAGATGAACCTGCCTTTGAGAGTTCAGGTTCGAAACACTCTTTCTGTAGAATCTGCAAGTGGATATTTGGACCACTGGCTGGCCTTCGTTCGAAACGGGTATATGTTCACGTAAAAACTAAAGAGAAGCATTCTCAGAAACTTCTGAGTGATGATTGCATTCAAGTCACACAGTTGAATCCTCCTTTTGATGGAGCAGTTTTGAAACTGTCTTTTTGTAGAATCTGTAAGTGGATACGTGGACCTCTTTGAAGATTTCTTTGGAAACGGGAATATTTCCACAGAAAAACTAAACTGAAACATTCTCAGAAACCGCTTTGTGATGTTTGTGTTCCAGCCACAGAGTTTAACATTGCTTTTCATAGAGCAGTTTTGAAATATTCTTTTCGCAGAATCTGCAAGTGGACATTTGGAGCGCTTTCAGGCCTGTGGTGGAAAAGGCCTGAAAGCCTTTTCCTTTATCTTCACAGAAAGACGAGAGAGAAGTATTGTCAGAAACTTCTTTGTGATGATTGCATTCAACTCACAGAGTTGAAGATTCCTTTTGAAACAGCAGTTTCGAAACACTCTTTCTGTGGGATCCGCAAGGGGATATTTGGACCTCTTTGAAGGTTTCGTTGGAAACGGGATAATCTTCACCTAAAAGCTAAACGGAAGCATTCTCAGAAACTTCTTTGGGATGTTTGCATTCACCTCACAGAGTTGAACTTTCCCTTTGATAGCGCAGCTTTGACACACTTTTTCTACAATGTGCAAGTGGCTATTTAGCGGGCTTGGAGGACTGTGTTGGAAAAGGAAATATCTTCTCCTAAAAACGACATAGAAGCATTCTCAGAAACTGCTCTGTGACGATTGCATTCAACTCCCAGAGTTGAACATTCCTTTTGATAGAGCAGTTTGCAAACACTCTTTTTGTAGAATCTGCAAGTGGAGATTTGGACCGCTTTGAGGCCTGTGGTAGTGAAGGAAAGAAATTCATATAAAAACCAGACGGTAGCACTCTCAGAAAATTCTTTGTGACGATGGAGTTTAACTCAGGGAGCTGAACATTCGTTATGATGGAGCAGTTTCCAAACACACGTTTTGTAGAATCTGCAAGGGGATATTTGGACCTCTCTGAGGATTTCGTTGGAAACGGGATCAACTTCCCATAACTGAACGGAAGCAAACTCAGAACATTCTTTGTGATGTTTGTATTCAACTCACAGAGTTGAACCTTCCTTTGATAGTTCAGGTTTGCAACACCCTTGTAGTAGAATCTGCAAGTGTATATTTTGACCACTTTGTAGCCTTCGTTTGAAACGTCTATATCTTCACATCAAACCTAGAAAGAAGCATTCTCAGAAAGTTTTCTGCGATGACTGCATTCAACTCACAGAGTTGAACAATCCTTCTGATGGAGCAGTTTTGAAACCCTCTTTCTTTGGAATCTGCAAGGGGATATGTGGACCTCTTTGAAGATTTCACTGGAAACGGGATCATCTTCACATAAAAACTAAACAGAAGCATTCTCGGAAACTATTTTGTGATGTTTGTATTCAACTCCCAGAGTTGAACTTTCCTTTTGAAAGAGCAGCTATGAAACACTCTTTTTCGAGAATCTGCAAGTGGACGTTTGGAGGGCTTTGAGGCCTGTGGTGGAAAAGGAAATATCTTCACACAAAAACCAGATAGAAGCATTCTCAGAAACGACTTTGTGAGGATGGCATTCAACTCATGGAGTTGAACAATCCTATTGATAGAGCAGATTGGAATCACTCTTTTTGTAGAATCTGCAAATGGAGATTTGGACTGCTTTGAGGCCTACGGTAGTACAGGAAGGAACTTCATATAAAAGGCAAACGGAAGCATTCTCAGAATATTCTTTGTGATGATGGAGTTTCACTGACAGAGCTGAACATGCCTTTTGATGGAGCAGTTTCCAAATACACTTTTGGTAGAATCTGCAGGTGGATATTTGGAGCTCTCTGAGGATTTCGTTGGAAACGGGAATAATTTCCCATAACTAAACACAAACACTCTGAGAAAGTTCTTCATGATGAATGCATTTAACTCGCAGAGATGAACCTGCCTTTGAGAGTTCAGGTTCGAAACACTCTTTCTGTAGAATCTGCAAGTGGATATTTGGACCACTGGGTGGCCTTCGTTCGAAACGGGTATATGTTCACGTAAAAACTAAAGAGAAGCATTCTCAGAAACTTCTGAGTGATGATTGCATTCAAGTCACACAGTTGAACCCTCCTTTTGATGGAGCAGTTTTGAAACTGTCTTTTTGTAGAATCTGTAAGTGGATACGTGGACCTCTTTGAAGATTTCTTTGGAAACGGGAATATTTCCACAGAAAAACTAAACTGAAGCATTCTCAGAAACTGCTTTGTGATGTTTGTGTTCGAGCCACAGAGTTTAACATTGCTTTTCATAGAGCAGTTTTGAAATATTCTTTTCACAGAATCTGCAAGTGGACATTTGGAGCGCTTTCAGGCCTGTGGTGGAAAAGGCCTGAAAGCCTTTTCCTTTATCTTCACAGAAAGACGAGAGAGAAGCATTGTCAGAAACTTCTTTGTGATGATTGCATTCAACTCACAGAGTTGAAGATTCCTTTTGAAACAGCAGTTTCGAAACACTCTTTCTGTGGGATCCGCAAGGGGATATTTGGACCTCTTTGAAGGTTTCGTTGGAAACGGGATAATCTTCACCTAAAAGCTAAACGGAAGCATTCTCAGAAACTTCTTTGGGATGTTTGCATTCACCTCACAGAGTTGAACTTTCCCTTTGATAGCGCAGCTTTGACACACTTTTTCTACAATGTGCAAGTGGCTATTTAGCGGGCTAGGAGGACTGTGTTGGAAAAGGTAATATCTTCTCCTAAAAACGACATAGAAGCATTCTCAGAAACTGCTCTGTGATGATTGCATTCAACTCCCAGAGTTGAACATTCCTTTTGATAGAGCAGTTTGCAAACACTCTTTTTGTAGAATCTGCAAGTGGAGATTTGGACCGCTTTGAGGCCTGTGGTAGTGAAGGAAAGAACTTCATATAAAAACCAGACGGTAGCACTCTCAGAAAATTCTTTGTGACGATGGAGTTTAACTCAGGGAGCTGAACATTCGTTATGATGGAGCAGTTTCCAAACACACGTTTTGTAGAATCTGCAAGGGGATATTTGGACCTCTCTGAGGATTTCGTTGGAAACGGGATCAACTTCCCATAACTGAACGGAAGCAAACTCAGAACATTCTTTGTGATGTTTGTATTCAACTCACAGAGTTGAACCTTCCTTTGATAGTTCAGGTTTGCAACACCCTTGTAGTAGAATCTGCAAGTGTATATTTTGACCACTTTGTAGCCTTCGTTTGAAACGTCTATATCTTCACATCAAACCTAGACAGAAGCATTCTCAGAAAGTTTTCTGCGATGACTGCATTCCACTCACAGAGTTGAACAATCCTTCTGATGGAGCAGTTTTGAAACCCTCTTTCTTTGGAATCTGCAAGGGGATATGTGGACCTCTTTGAAGATTTCACTGGAAACGGGATCATCTTCACATAAAAACTAAACAGAAGCATTCTCGGAAACTACTTTGTGATGTTTGTATTCAACTCCCAGAGTTGAACTTTCCTTTTGAAAGAGCAGCTATGAAACACTCTTTTTCGAGAATCTGCAAGTGGACGTTTGGAGGGCTTTGAGGCCTGTGGTGGAAAAGGAAATATCTTCACATTAAAACTAGATAGAATCATTCTCAGAAACGACTTTGTGAGGATGGCATTCAACTCATGGAGTTGAACAATCCTATTGATAGAGCAGATTGGAATCACTCTTTTTGTAGAATCTGCAAATGGAGATTTGGACTGCTTTGAGGCCTACGGTAGTATAGGAAGGAACTTCATATAAAAGGCAAACGGAAGCATTCTCAGAATATTCTTTGTGATGATGGAGTTTCACTCACAGAGCTGAACATGCCTTTTGATGGAGCAGTTTCCAAATACACTTTTGGTAGAATCTGCAGGTGGATATTTGGAGCTCTCTGAGGATTTCGTTGGAAACGGGAATAATTTCCCATAACTAAACACAAACACTCTGAGAAAGTTCTTCATGATGAATGCATTTAACTCGCAGAGATGAACCTGCCTTTGAGAGTTCAGGTTCGAAACACTCTTTCTGTATAATCTGCAAGTGGATATTTGGACCACTGGGTGGCCTTCGTTCGAAACGGGTATATGTTCACGTAAAAACTAAAGAGAAGCATTCTCAGAAACTTCTGAGTGATGATTGCATTCAAGTCACACAGTTGAACCCTCCTTTTGATGGAGCAGTTTTGAAACTGTCTTTTTGTAGAATCTGTAAGTGGATACGTGGACCTCTTTGAAGATTTCTTTGGAAACGGGAATATTTCCACAGAAAAACTAAACTGAAACATTCTCAGAAACCGCTTTGTGATGTTTGTGTTCCAGCCACAGAGTTTAACATTGCTTTTCATAGAGCAGTTTTGAAATATTCTTTTCGCAGAATCTGCAAGTGGACATTTGGAGCGCTTTCAGGCCTGTGGTGGAAAAGGCCTGAAAGCCTTTTCCTTTATCTTCACAGAAAGACGAGAGAGAAGCATTGTCAGAAACTTCTTTGTGATGATTGCATTCAACTCACAGAGTTGAAGATTCCTTTTGAAACAGCAGTTTCGAAACACTCTTTCTGTGGGATCCGCAAGGGGATATTTGGACCTCTTTGAAGGTTTCGTTGGAAACGGGATAATCTTCACCTAAAAGCTAAACGGAAGCATTCTCAGAAACTTCTTTGGGATGTTTGCATTCACCTCACAGAGTTGAACTTTCCCTTTGATAGCGCAGCTTTGACACACTTTTTCTACAATGTGCAAGTGGCTATTTAGCGGGCTTGGAGGACTGTGTTGGAAAAGGAAATATCTTCTCCTAAAAACGACATAGAAGCATTCTCAGAAACTGCTCTGTGATGATTGCATTCAACTCCCAGAGTTGAACATTCCTTTTGATAGAGCAGTTTGCAAACACTCTTTTTGTAGAATCTGCAAGTGGAGATTTGGACCGCTTTGAGGCCTGTGGTAGTGAAGGAAAGAACTTCATATAAAAACCAGACGGTAGCACTCTCAGAAAATTCTTTGTGACGATGGAGTTTAACTCAGGGAGCTGAACATTCTTTATGATGGAGCAGTTTCCAAACACACGTTTTGTAGAATCTGCGAGGGGATATTTGGACCTCTCTGAGGATTTCGTTGGAAACGGGATCAACTTCCCATAACTGAACGGAAGCAAACTCAGAACATTCTTTGTGATGTTTGTATTCAACTCACAGAGTTGAACCTTCCTTTGATAGTTCAGGTTTGCAACACCCTTGTAGTAGAATCTGCAAGTGTATATTTTGACCACTTTGTAGCCTTCGTTTGAAACGTCTATATCTTCACATCAAACCTAGACAGAAGCATTCTCAGAAAGTTTTCTGCGATGACTGCATTCTACTCACAGAGTTGAGCAATCCTTTTGATGGAGCAGTTTTGAAACCCACTTTCTTTGGAATCTGCAAGGGCATATGTGGACCTCTTTGAAGATTTCACTGGAAACGGGATCATCTTCACATAAGAACTAAACAGAAGCATTCTCGGAAACTACTTTGTGATGTTTGTATTCAACTCCCAGAGTTGAACTTTCCTTTTGAAAGAGCAGCTATGAAACACTCTTTTTCGAGAATCTGCAAGTGGACGTTTGGAAGGCTTTGAGGCCTGTGGTGGAAAAGGAAATATCTTCACATAAAAACTAGATAGAAGCATTCTCAGAAACGACTTTGTGAGGATGGCATTCAACTCATGGAGTTGAACAATCCTATTGATAGAGCAGATTGGAATCACTCTTTTTGTAGAATCTGCAAATGGAGATTTGGACTGCTTTGAGGCCTACGGTCGTATAGGAAGGAACTTCATATAAAAGGCAAACGGAAGCATTCTCAGAATATTCTTTGTGATGATGGAGTTTCACTCACAGAGCTGAACATGCCTTTTGATGGAGCAGTTTCCAAATACACTTTTGGTAGAATCTGCAGGTGGATATTTGGAGCTCTCTGAGGATTTCGTTGGAAACGGGAATAATTTCCCATAACTAAACACAAACACTCTGAGAAAGTTCTTCATGATGAATGCATTTAACTCGCAGAGATGAACCTGCCTTTGAGAGTTCAGGTTCGAAACACTCTTTCTGTAGAATCTGCAAGTGGATATTTGGACCACTGGGTGGCCTTCGTTCGAAACGGGTATATGTTCACAGTAAAAACTAAAGAGAAGCATTCTCAGAAACTTCTGAGTGATGATTGCATTCAAGTCACACAGTTGAACCCTCCTTTTGATGGAGCAGTTTTGAAACTGTCTTTTTGTAGAATCTGTAAGTGGATACGTGGACCTCTTTGAAGATTTCTTTGGAAACGGGAATATTTCCACAGAAAAACTAAACTTAAACATTCTCAGAAACCGCTTTGTGATGTTTGTGTTCCAGCCACAGAGTTTAACATTGCTTTTCATAGAGCAGTTTTGAAATATTCTTTTGGCAGAATCTGCAAGTGGACATTTGGAGCGCTTTCAGGCCTGTGGTGGAAAAGGCCTGAAAGCCTTTTCCTTTATCTTCACAGAAAGACGAGAGAGAAGCATTGTCAGAAACTTCTTTGTGATGATTGCATTCAACTCACAGAGTTGAAGATTCCTTTTGAAACAGCAGTTTTGAAACACTCTTTCTGTGGGATCCGCAAGGGGATATTTGGACCTCTTTGAAGGTTTCGTTGGAAACGGGATAATCTTCACCTAAAAGCTAAACGGAAGCATTCTCAGAAACTTCTTTGGGATGTTTGCATTCACCTCACAGAGTTGAACTTTCCCTTTGATAGCGCAGCTTTGACACACTTTTTCTACAATGTGCAAGTGGCTATTTAGCGGGCTTGGAGGACTGTGTTGGAAAAGGAAATATCTTCTCCTAAAAACGACATAGAAGCATTCTCAGAAACTGCTCTGTGATGATTGCATTCAACTCCCAGAGTTGAACATTCCTTTTGATAGAGCAGTTTGCAAACACTCTTTTTGTAGAATCTGCAAGTGGAGATTTGGACCGCTTTGAGGCCTGTGGTAGTGAAGGAAAGAACTTCATATAAAAACCAGACGGTAGCACTCTCAGAAAATTCTTTGTGACGATGGAGTTTAACTCAGGGAGCTGAACATTCGTTATGATGGAGCAGTTTCCAAACACACGTTTTGTAGAATCTGCAAGGGGATATTTAGACCTCTCTGAGGATTTCGTTGGAAACGGGATCAACTTCCCATAACTGAACGGAAGCAAACTCAGAACATTCTTTGTGATGTTTGTATTCAACTCACAGAGTTGAACCTTCCTTTGATAGTTCAGGTTTGCAACACCCTTGTAGTAGAATCTGCAAGTGTATATTTTGACCACTTTGTAGCCTTCGTTTGAAACGTCTATATCTTCACATCAAACCTAGAAAGAAGCATTCTCAGAAAGTTTTCTGCGATGACTGCATTCAACTCACAGAGTTGAACAATCCTTCTGATGGAGCAGTTTTGAAACCCTCTTTCTTTGGAATCTGCAAGGGGATATGTGGACCTCTTTGAAGATTTCACTGGAAACGGGATCATCTTCACATAAAAACTAAACAGAAGCATTCTCGGAAACTACTTTGTGATGTTTGTATTCAACTCCCAGAGTTGAACTTTCCTTTTGAAAGAGCAGCTATGAAACACTCTTTTTCGAGAATCTGCAAGTGGACGTTTGGAGGGCTTTGAGGCCTGTGGTGGAAAAGGAAATATCTTCACATAAAAACTAGATAGAAGCATTCTCAGAAACTACTTTGTGAGGATGGCATTCAACTCATGGAGTTGAACAATCCTATTGATAGAGCAGATTGGAATCACTCTTTTTATAGAATCTGCAAATGGAGATTTGGACTGCTTTGAGGCCTACGGTAGTACAGGAAGGAACTTCATATAAAAGGCAAACGGGA
>NC_000023.11:59477828-59487434 GCF_000001405.40 Homo sapiens
TGTGTTTAGTTATGGGAAATTATTCCCGTTTCCAACGAAATCCTCAGAGAGCTCCAAATATCCACCTGCAGATTCTACCAAAAGTGTATTTGGAAACTGCTCCATCAAAAGGCATGTTCAGCTCTGTGAGTGAAACTCCATCATCACAAAGAATATTCTGAGAGAGACAGGAGGGAGGAGCCAAGATGGCCGAATAGGAACAGCTCCGGTCTACAGCTCCCAGCGTGAGCGACGCAGAAGACGGTGATTTCTGCATTTCCATCTGAGGTACCGGGTTCATCTCAATAGGGAGTGCCAGACAGTGGGCGCAGGCCAGTGTGTGTGCGCACCGTGCGCGAGCCGAAGCAGGGCGAGGCATTGCCTCACCTGGGAAGCGCACGGGTCAGGGAGTTCCCTTTCCGAGTCAAAGAAAGGGGTGACGGACGCACCTGGAAAATCGGGTCACTCCCACCCGAATATTGCGCTTTTCAGACCGGCTTAAGAAACGGCGCACCACAAGACTATATCCCAAACACTCTGAGAAAGTTCTTCATGATGAATGCATTTAACTCGCAGAGATGAACCTGCCTTTGAGAGTTCAGGTTCGAAACACTCTTTCTGTAGAATCTGCAAGTGGATATTTGGACCACTGGCTGGCCTTCGTTCGAAACGGGTATATGTTCACGTAAAAACTAAAGAGAAGCATTCTCAGAAACTTCTGAGTGATGATTGCATTCAAGTCACACAGTTGAACCCTCCTTTTGATGGAGCAGTTTTGAAACTGTCTTTTTGTAGAATCTGTAAGTGGATGCGTGGACCTCTTTGAAGATTTCTTTGGAAACGGGAATATTTCCACAGAAAAACTAAACTGAAGCATTCTCAGAAACCGCTTTGTGATGTTTGTGTTCGAGCCACAGAGTTTAACATTGCTTTTCATAGAGCAGTTTTGAAATATTCTTTTGGCAGAATCTGCAAGTGGACACTTGGAGCGCTTTCAGGCCTGTGGTGGAAAAGGCCTGAAAGCCTTTTCCTTTATCTTCACAGAAAGACGAGAGAGAAGCATTGTCAGAAACTTCTTTGTGATGGTTGCATTCAACTCACAGAGTTGAAGATTCCTTTTGAAACAGCAGTTTCGAAACACTCTTTCTGTGGGATCCGCAAGGGGATATTTGGACCTCTTTGAAGGTTTCGTTGGAAACGGGATAATCTTCACCTAAAAGCTAAACGGAAGCATTCTCAGAAACTTCTTTAGGATGTTTGCATTCACCTCACAGAGTTGAACTTTCCCTTTGATAGCGCAGCTTTGACACACTTTTTCTACAATGTGCAAGTGGCTATTTAGCGGGCTTGGAGGACTGTGTTGGAAAAGGAAATATCTTCTCCTAAAAACGACATAGAAGCATTCTCAGAAACTACTCTGTGATGATTGCATTCAACTCCCAGAGTTGAACATTCCTTTTGATAGAGCAGTTTGCAAACACTCTTTTTGTAGAATCTGCAAGTGGAGATTTGGACCGCCTTGAGGCCTGTGGTAGTAAAGGAAAGAACTTCATATAAAAACTAGACGGTAGCCCTCTCAGAAAATTGTTTGCGACGATTGAGTTTAACTGAGAGAGCTGAACATTCGTTTTGGTGGAGCAGGTTCCAAACACACTTTTTGTAGAATCTGCAAGGGGATATTTGGACCTCTCTGAAGATTTCGTTGGAAACGGGTTCAACTTCCCATAACTGAACCGAAGCATTCTCAGAAACTTCTTTGTGATGCTTGCATTCAACTCACAGAGTGGAACCTTCCTTTGATATTTCAGGTTTGCAACACCCTTGTAGTAGAATCTGCAAGTGTCTATTTTGACCACTTTGTAGCCTTCGTTTTAAACGTCTATATCTTCACATCAAACCTAGACAGAAGCATTCTCAGAAAGTTTTCTGCGATGACTGCATTCAACTCACAGAGTTGAACAATCCTTTTGATGGAGCAGTTTTGAAACCCTCTTTCTTTGGAATCTGTAAGGGGATATGTGGACCTCTTTGAAAATTTCATTGGAAACGGGATCATCTTCACATAAAAACTAAACAGAAAGCATTCTCGGAAACTACTTTGTGATGTTTGTATTCAACTCCCAGAGTTGAACTTTCCTTTTGAAAGAGCAGCTATGAAACACTCTTTTTCGAGAATCTGCAAGTGGACGTTTGGAGGGCTTGGAGGCCTGTGGTGGAAAAGGAAATACCTTCACATAAAAACTAGATAGAAGCATTCTCAGAAACTACTTTGTGAGGATGGCATTCAACTCATGGAGTTGAACAATCCTATTGATAGAGCAGATTGGAATCACTCTTTTTGTAGAATCTGCAAATGGAGATTTGGACTGCTTTGAGGCCTACGGTCGTATAGGAAGGAACTTCATATAAAAGGCAAACGGAAGCATTCTCAGAATATTCTTTGTGATGATGGAGTTTCACTCACAGGGCTGAACATGCCTTTTGATGGAGCAGTTTCCAAATACACTTTTGGTAGAATCTGCAGGTGGATATTTGGAGCTCTCTGAGGATTTCGTTGGAAACGGGAATAATTTCCCATAACTAAACACAAACACGCTGAGAAAGTTCTTCATGTTGAATGCATTGAACTCACAGAGATGAACCTGCCTTTGAGAGTTCAGGTTCGAAACACTCTTTCTGTAGAATCTGCAAGTGGATATTTGGACCACTGGGTGGCCTTCGTTCGAAACGGGTATATGTTCACGTAAAAACTAAAGAGAAGCGTTCTCAGAAACTTCTGAGTGATGATTGCATTCAAGTCACACAGTTGAACCCTCCTTTTGATTGAGCAGTTTTGAAACTGTCTTTTTGTAGAATCTGTAAGTGGATGCGTGGACCTCTTTGAAGATTTCTTTGGAAACGGGAATATTTCCACAGAAAAACTAAACTGAAGCATTCTCAGAAACTGCTTTGTGATGTTTGTGTTCGAGCCACAGAGTTTAACATTGCTTTTCATAGAGCAGTTTTGAAATATTCTTTTGGCAGAATCTGCAAGTGGACATTTGGAGCGCTTTCAGGCCTGTGGTGGAAAAGGCCTGAAAGCCTTTTCCTTTATCTTCACAGAAAGACGAGAGAGAAGCATTGTCAGAAACTTCTTTGTGAAGATTGCATTCAACTCACAGAGTTGAAGATTCCTTTTGAAACAGCAGTTTCGAAACACTCTTTCTGTGGGATCTGCAAGGGGATATTTGGACCTCTTTGAAGATTTCGTTGGAAACAGGATAATCTTCACCTAAAAGCTAAACGGAAGCATTCTCAGAAACTTCTTTGGGATGATTGCATTCACCTCACAGAGTTGAACTTTCCCTTTGATAGCGCAGCTTCGACACACTTTTTCTACAATGTGCAAGTGGATATTTAGCGGGCTTGGAGGACTGTGTTGGAAAAGGAAATATCTTCTCCTAAAAACGACATAGAAGCATTCTCAGAAACTGCTCTGTGATGATTGCATTCAACTCCCAGAGTTGAACATTCCTTTTGATAGAGCAGTTTGCAAACACTGTTTTTGTAGAATCTGCAAGTGGAGACTTGGATCGCTTTGAGGCCTGTGGTAGTAAAGGAAAGAACTTCATATAAAAACCAGACGGTAGCACTCTCAGAAAATTCTTTGTGACGATGGAGTTTAACTCAGGGAGCTGAACATTCGTTATGATGGAGCAGTTTCCAAACACACGTTTTGTAGAATCTGCAAGGGGATATTTGGACCTCTCTGAGGATTTCGTTGGAAACGGGATCAACTTCCCATAACTGAACGGAAGCAAACTCAGAACATTCTTTGTGATGTTTGTATTCAACTCACAGAGTTGAACCTTCCTTTGATAGTTCAGGTTTGCAACACCCTTGTAGTAGAATCTGCAAGTGTATATTTTGACCACTTTGTAGCCTTCGTTTGAAACGTCTATATCTTCACATCAAACCTAGACAGAAGCATTCTCAGAAAGTTTTCTGCGATGACTGCATTCAACTCACAGAGTTGAACAATCCTTCTGATGGAGCAGTTTTGAAACCCTCTTTCTTTGGAATCTGCAAGGGGATATGTGGACCTCTTTGAAGATTTCACTGGAAACGGGATCATCTTCACATAAAAACTAAACAGAAGCATTCTCAGAAACTACTTTGTGATGTTTGTATTCAACTCCCAGAGTTGAACTTTCCTTTTGAAAGAGCAGCTATGAAACACTCTTTTTCGAGAATCTGAAAGTGGACGTTTGGAGGGCTTTGAGGCCTGTGGTGGAAAAGGAAATATCTTCACATAAAAACTAGATAGAAGCATTCTCAGAAACGACATTGTGAGGATGGCATTCAACACATGGAGTTGAACAATCCTATTGATAGAGCAGATTGGAATCACTCTTTTTGTAGAATCTGCAAATGGAGATTTGGACTGCTTTGAGGCCTACGGTAGTATAGGAAGGAACTTCATATAAAAGGCAAACGGAAGCATTCTCAGAATATTCTTTGTGATGATGGAGTTTCACTCACAGAGCTGAACATGCCTTTTGATGGAGCAGTTTCCAAATACACTTTTGGTAGAATCTGCAGGTGGATATTTGGAGCTCTCTGAGGATTTCGTTGGAAACGGGAATAATTTCCCATAACTAAACACAAACACTCTGAGAAAGTTCTTCATGATGAATGCATTTAACTCGCAGAGATGAACCTGCCTTTGAGAGTTCAGGTTCGAAACACTCTTTCTGTAGAATCTGCAAGTGGATATTTGGACCACTGGGTGGCCTTCGTTCGAAACGGGTATATGTTCACGTAAAAACTAAAGAGAAGCATTCTCAGAAACTTCTGAGTGATGATTGCATTCAAGTCACACAGTTGAACCCTCCTTTTGATGGAGCAGTTTTGAAACTGTCTTTTTGTAGAATCTGTAAGTGGATACGTGGACCTCTTTGAAGATTTCTTTGGAAACGGGAATATTTCCACAGAAAAACTAAACTGAAGCATTCTCAGAAACCGCTTTGTGATGTTTGTGTTCGAGCCACAGAGTTTAACATTGCTTTTCATAGAGCAGTTTTGAAATATTCTTTTCGCAGAATCTGCAAGTGGACATTTGGAGCGCTTTCAGGCCTGTGGTGGAAAAGGCCTGAAAGCCTTTTCCTTTATCTTCACAGAAAGACGAGAGAGAAGCATTGTCAGAAACTTCTTTGTGATGATTGCATTCAACTCACAGAGTTGAAGATTCCTTTTGAAACAGCAGTTTCGAAACACTCTTTCTGTGGGATCCGCAAGGGGATATTTGGACCTCTTTGAAGGTTTCGTTGGAAACGGGATAATCTTCACCTAAAAGCTAAACGGAAGCATTCTCAGAAACTTCTTTGGGATGTTTGCATTCACCTCACAGAGTTGAACTTTCCCTTTGATAGCGCAGCTTTGACACACTTTTTCTACAATGTGCAAGTGGCTATTTAGCGGGCTTGGAGGACTGTGTTGGAAAAGGAAATATCTTCTCCTAAAAACGACATAGAAGCATTCTCAGAAACTGCTCTGTGATGATTGCATTCAACTCCCAGAGTTGAACATTCCTTTTGATAGAGCAGTTTGCAAACACTCTTTTTGTAGAATCTGCAAGTGGAGATTTGGACCGCTTTGAGGCCTGTGGTAGTGAAGGAAAGAACTTCATATAAAAACCAGACGGTAGCACTCTCAGAAAATTCTTTGTGACGATGGAGTTTAACTCAGGGAGCTGAACATTCGTTATGATGGAGCAGTTTCCAAACACACGTTTTGTAGAATCTGCAAGGGGATATTTGGACCTCTCTGAGGATTTCGTTGGAAACGGGATCAACTTCCCATAACTGAACGGAAGCAAACTCAGAACATTCTTTGTGATGTTTGTATTCAACTCACAGAGTTGAACCTTCCTTTGATAGTTCAGGTTTGCAACACCCTTGTAGTAGAATCTGCAAGTGTATATTTTGACCACTTTGTAGCCTTCATTTGAAACGTCTATATCTTCACATCAAACCTAGACAGAAGCATTCTCAGAAAGTTTTCTGCGATGACTGCATTCAACTCACAGAGTTGAACAATCCTTCTGATGGAGCAGTTTTGAAACCCTCTTTCTTTGGAATGTGCAAGGGGATATGTGGACCTCTTTGAAGATTTCACTGGAAACGGGATCATCTTCACATAAAAACTAAACAGAAGCATTCTCGGAAACTACTTTGTGATGTTTGTATTCAACTCCCAGAGTTGAACTTTCCTTTTGAAAGAGCAGCTATGAAACACTCTTTTTCGAGAATCTGCAAGTGGACGTTTGGAGGGCTTGGAGGCCTGTGGTGGAAAAGGAAATACCTTCACATAAAAACTAGATAGAAGCATTCTCAGAAACTACTTTGTGAGGATGGCATTCAACTCATGGAGTTGAACAATCCTATTGATAGAGCAGATTGGAATCACTCTTTTTGTAGAATCTGCAAATGGAGATTTGGACTGCTTTGAGGCCTACGGTCGTATAGGAAGGAACTTCATATAAAAGGCAAACGGAAGCATTCTCAGAATATTCTTTGTGATGATGGAATTTCACTCACAGAGCTGAACATGCCTTTTGATGGAGCAGTTTCCAAATACACTTTTGGTAGAATCTGCAGGTGGATATTTGGACCACTCTGAGGATTTCGTTGGAAACGGGAATAATTTCCCATAACTAAACACAAACACTCTGAGAAAGTTCTTCATGATGAATGCATTTAACTCGCAGAGATGAACCTGCCTTTGAGAGTTCAGGTTCGAAACACTCTTTCTGTATAATCTGCAAGTGGATATTTGGACCACTGGGTGGCCTTCGTTCGAAACGGGTATATGTTCACGTAAAAACTAAAGAGAAGCATTCTCAGAAACTTCTGAGTGATGATTGCATTCAAGTCACACAGTTGAACCCTCCTTTTGATGGAGCAGTTTTGAAACTGTCTTTTTGTAGAATCTGTAAGTGGATACGTGGACCTCTTTGAAGATTTCTTTGGAAACGGGAATATTTCCACAGAAAAACTAAACTGAAACATTCTCAGAAACCGCTTTGTGATGTTTGTGTTCCAGCCACAGAGTTTAACATTGCTTTTCATAGAGCAGTTTTGAAATATTCTTTTGGCAGAATCTGCAAGTGGACATTTGGAGCGCTTTCAGGCCTGTGGTGGAAAAGGCCTGAAAGCCTTTTCCTTTATCTTCACAGAAAGACGAGAGAGAAGCATTGTCAGAAACTTCTTTGTGATGATTGCATTCAACTCACAGAGTTGAAGATTCCTTTTGAAACAGCAGTTTCGAAACACTCTTTCTGTGGGATCCGCAAGGGGATATTTGGACCTCTTTGAAGGTTTCGTTGGAAACGGGATAATCTTCACCTAAAAGCTAAACGGAAGCATTCTCAGAAACTTCTTTGGGATGTTTGCATTCACCTCACAGAGTTGAACTTTCCCTTTGATAGCGCAGCTTTGACACACTTTTTCTACAATGTGCAAGTGGCTATTTAGCGGGCTTGGAGGACTGTGTTGGAAAAGGAAATATCTTCTCCTAAAAACGACATAGAAGCATTCTCAGAAACTGCTCTGTGATGATTGCATTCAACTCCCAGAGTTGAACATTCCTTTTGATAGAGCAGTTTGCAAACACTCTTTTTGTAGAATCTGCAAGTGGAGATTTGGACCGCTTTGAGGCCTGTGGTAGTGAAGGAAAGAACTTCATATAAAAACCAGACGGTAGCACTCTCAGAAAATTCTTTGTGACGATGGAGTTTAACTCAGGGAGCTGAACATTCGTTATGATGGAGCAGTTTCCAAACACACGTTTTGTAGAATCTGCGAGGGGATATTTGGACCTCTCTGAGGATTTCGTTGGAAACGGGATCAACTTCCCATAACTGAACGGAAGCAAACTCAGAACATTCTTTGTGATGTTTGTATTCAACTCACAGAGTTGAACCTTCCTTTGATAGTTCAGGTTTGCAACACCCTTGTAGTAGAATCTGCAAGTGTATATTTTGACCACTTTGTAGCCTTCGTTTGAAACGTCTATATCTTCACATCAAACCTAGAAAGAAGCATTCTCAGAAAGTTTTCTGCGATGACTGCATTCAACTCACAGAGTTGAACAATCCTTCTGATGGAGCAGTTTTGAAACCCTCTTTCTTTGGAATCTGCAAGGGGATATGTGGACCTCTTTGATGATTTCACTGGAAACGGGGTCATCTTCACATAAAAACTAAACAGAAGCATTCTCGGAAACTACTTTGTGATGTTTGTATTCAACTCCCAGAGTTGAACTTTCCTTTTGAAAGAGCAGCTATGAAACACTCTTTTTCGAGAATCTGCAAGTGGACGTTTGGAGGGCTTTGAGGCCTGTGGTGGAAAAGGAAATATCTTCACATAAAAACTAGATAGAAGCATTCTCAGAAACTACTTTGTGAGGATGGCATTCAACTCATGGAGTTGAACAATCCTATTGATAGAGCAGATTGGAATCACTCTTTTTGTAGAATCTGCAAATGGAGATTTGGACTGCTTTGAGGCCTACGGTCGTATAGGAAGGAACTTCAGATAAAAGGCAAACGGAAGCATTCTCAGAATATTCTTTGTGATGATGGAGTTTCACTCACAGAGCTGAACATGCCTTTTGATGGAGCAGTTTCCAAATACACTTTTGGTAGAATCTGCAGGTGGATATTTGGAGCTCTCTGAGGATTTCGTTGGAAACGGGAATAATTTCCCATAACTAAACACAAACACTCTGAGAAAGTTCTTCATGATGAATGCATTTAACTCGCAGAGATGAACCTGCCTTTGAGAGTTCAGGTTCGAAACACTCTTTCTGTAGAATCTGCAAGTGGATATTTGGACCACTGGCTGGCCTTCGTTCGAAACGGGTATATGTTCACGTAAAAACTAAAGAGAAGCGTTCTCAGAAACTTCTGAGTGATGATTGCATTCAAGTCACACAGTTGAACCCTCCTTTTGATTGAGCAGTTTTGAAACTGTCTTTTTGTAGAATCTGTAAGTGGATGCGTGGACCTCTTTGAAGATTTCTTTGGAAACGGGAATATTTCCACAGAAAAACTAAACTGAAGCATTCTCAGAAACTGCTTTGTGATGTTTGTGTTCGAGCCACAGAGTTTAACATTGCTTTTCATAGAGCAGTTTTGAAATATTCTTTTGGCAGAATCTGCAAGTGGACATTTGGAGCGCTTTCAGGCCTGTGGTGGAAAAGGCCTGAAAGCCTTTTCCTTTATCTTCACAGAAAGACGAGAGAGAAGCATTGTCAGAAACTTCTTTGTGATGATTGCATTCAACTCACAGAGTTGAAGATTCCTTTTGAAACAGCAGTTTCGAAACACTCTTTCTGTGGGATCCGCAAGGGGATATTTGGACCTCTTTGAAGGTTTCGTTGGAAACGGGATAATCTTCACCTAAAAGCTAAACGGAAGCATTCTCAGAAACTTCTTTGGGATGTTTGCATTCACCTCACAGAGTTGAACTTTCCCTTTGATAGCGCAGCTTTGACACACTTTTCCTACAATGTGCAAGTGGCTATTTAGCGGGCTTGGAAGACTGTGTTGGAAAAGGAAATATCTTCTCCTAAAAACGACATAGA
>NC_000023.11:59487534-59532975 GCF_000001405.40 Homo sapiens
TCATGTAACTGTTGTCTAGGCTCTGCCTGCAGTAGCATTGTGACATATCTCTGCACTGATCATCCATGTGATGTAACTCTTGTCTCGGATCTGCCTAAAGGGACTTTGTGACATAACTCTGCACTGATCATCCAGGTGATGGGGCTTCTGTCAAGGCTCTCATATAAAAACTAGACGGTAGAGCACTCTCAGAAAATTCTTTGTGACGATGGAGTTTAACTCAGAGAGCTGAACATTCGTTATGATGGAGCAGTTTCCAAACACACGTTTTGTAGAATCTGCAAGGGGATATTTGGACCTCTCTGAGGATTTCGTTGGAAACGGTATCAATTTCCCATAACTGAACGGAAGCAAACTCAGAACATTTTTTGTGATGGTTGCATTCATCTCACAGAGTTGAACCTTCCTTTGATAGTTGAGGTTTGCATCACCCTTGTAGTAGAATCTGCAAGTGTATATTTTGACCACTTTGTAGCCTTCGTTTGAAACGTCTATATCTTCACATCAAACCTAGACAGAAGCATTCTCAGAAAGTTTTCTGCGATGACTGCATTCAACTCACAGAGTTGAACAATCCTTTTGATGGAGCAGTTTTGAAACCCTCTTTCTTTGGAATCTGCAAGGGGATATGTGGACCTCTTTGAAGATTTCACTGGAAACGGGATCATCTTCACATAAGAACTAAACAGAAGCATTCTCGGAAACTACTTTGTGATGTTTGTATTCAACTCCCAGAGTTGAACTTTCCTTTTGAAAGAGCAGCTATGAAACACTCTTTTTCGAGAATCTGCAAGTGGACGTTTGGAGGGCTTTGAGGCCTGTGGTGGAAAAGGAAATATCTTCACATAAAAACTAGATAGAAGCATTCTCAGAAACGACTTTGTGAGGATGGCATTCAACTCATGGAGTTGAACAATCCTATTGATAGAGCAGATTGGAATCACTCTTTTTGTAGAATCTGCAAATGGAGATTTGGACTGCTTTGAGGCCTACGGTCGTATAGGAAGGAACTTCATATAAAAGGCAAACGGAAGCATTCTCAGAATATTCTTTGTGATGATGGAGTTTCACTCACAGAGCTGAACATGCCTGTTGATGGAGCAGTTTCCAAATACACTTTTGGTAGAATCTGCAGGTGGACATTTGGACCTCTCTGAGGATTTCTTTGGGAAAGGGAATAATTTCCCATAACTAAACACAAACACGCTGAGAAAGTTCTTCATGACGAATGCATTTAACTCGCAGAGATGAACCTGCCTTTGAGAGTTCAGGTTCGAAACACTCTTTCTGTAGAATCTGCAAGTGGATATTTGGACCACTGGGTGGCCTTCGTTCGAAACGGGTATATGTTCACGTAAAAACTAAAGAGAAGCATTCTCAGAAACTTCTGAGTGATGATTGCATTCAAGTCACACAGTTGAACCCTCCTTTTGATTGAGCAGTTTTGAAACTGTCTTTTTGTAGAATCTGTAAGTGGATACGTGGACCTCTTTGAAGATTTCTTTGGAAACGGGAATATTTCCACAGAAAAACTAAACTGAAGCATTCTCAGAAACTGTTTTGTGATGTTTGTGTTCGAGCCGCAGAGTTTAACATTGCTTTTCATAGAGCAGTTTTGAAATATTCTTTTGGCAGAATCTGCAAGTGGACATTTGGAGCGCTTTCAGGCCTGTGGTGGAAAAGACCTGAAAGCCTTTTCCTTTATCTTCACAGAAAGACGAGAGAGAAGCATTGTCAGAAACTTCTTTGTGATGATTGCATTCAACTCACAGAGTTGAAGATTCCTTTTGAAACAGCAGTTTCGAAACACTCTTTCTGTGGGATCCGCAAGGGGATATTTGGACCTCTTTGAAGGTTTCGTTGGAAACGGGATAATCTTCACCTAAAAGCTAAACGGAAGCATTCTCAGAAACTTCTTTGGGATGTTTGCATTCACCTCACAGAGTTGAACTTTCCCTTTGATAGCGCAGCTTTGACACACTTTTTCTACAATGTGCAAGTGGCTATTTAGCGGGCTTGGAGGACTGTGTTGGAAAAGGAAATATCTTCTCCTAAAAACGACATAGAAGCATTCTCAGAAACTGCTCTGTGATGATTGCATTCAACTCCCAGAGTTGAACATTCCTTTTGATAGAGCAGTTTGCAAACACTCTTTTTGTAGAATCTGCAAGTGGAGATTTGGACCGCTTTGAGGCCTGTGGTAGAGAAGGAAAGAACTTCATATAAAAACCAGACGGTAGCAAACTCAGAACATTCTTTGTGATGTTTGTATTCAACTCACAGAGTTGAACCTTCCTTTGATAGTTCAGGTTTGCAACACCCTTGTAGTAGAATCTGCAAGTGTATATTTTGACCACTTTGTAGCCTTCGTTTGAAACGTCTATATCTTCACATCAAACCTAGACAGAAGCATTCTCAGAAAGTTTTCTGCGATGACTGCATTCAACTCACAGAGTTGAACAATCCTTCTGATGGAGCAGTTTTGAAACCCTCTTTCTTTGGAATCTGCAAGGGGATATGTGGACCTCTTTGAAGATTTCACTGGAAACGGGATCGATCATCTTCACATAAAAACTAAACAGAAGCATTCTCGGAAACTACTTTGTGATGTTTGTATTCAACTCCCAGAGTTGAACTTTCCTTTTGAAAGAGCAGCTATGAAACACTCTTTTTCGAGAATCTGCAAGTGGACGTTTGGAGGGCTTTGAGGCCTGTGGTGGAAAAGGAAATATCTTCACACAAAAACCAGATAGAAGCATTCTCAGAAACTACTTTGTGAGGATGGCATTCAACTCATGGAGTTGAACAATCCTATTGATAGAGCAGATTGGAATCACTCTTTTTATAGAATCTGCAAATGGAGATTTGGACTGCTTTGAGGACTACGGTAGTACAGGAAGGAACTTCATATAAAAGGCAAACGGAAGCATTCTCAGAATATTCTTTGTGATGATGGAGTTTCACTCACAGAGCTGAACTTGCCTTTTGATGGAGCAGTTTCCAAATACACTTTTGGTAGAATCTGCAGGTGGACATTTGGAGCTCTCTGAGGATTTCGTTGGAAACGGGAATAATTTCCCATAACTAAACACAAACACTCTGAGAAAGTTCTTCATGATGAATGCATTTAACTCGCAGAGATGAACCTGCCTTTGAGAGTTCATGTTCGAAACACTCTTCTTGTAGAATCTGCAAGTGGATATTTGGAACACTGGGTGGCCTTCGTTCGAAACGGGAATATGTTCACGTAAAAACTAAAGAGAAGCATTCTCAGAAACTTCTGAGTGATGATTGCATTCAAGTCACACAGTTGAACCCTCCTTTTGATGGAGCAGTTTTGAAACTGTCTTTTTGTAGAATCTGTAAGTGGATACGTGGACCTCTTTGAAGATTTCTTTGGAAACGGGAATATTTCCACAGAAAAACTAAACTGAAGCATTCTCAGAAACCGCTTTGTGATGTTTGTGTTCGAGCCACAGAGTTTAACATTGCTTTTCATAGAGCAGTTTTGAAATATTCTTTTGGCAGAATCTGCAAGTGGACATTTGGAGCGCTTTCAGGCCTGTGGTGGAAAAGGCCTGAAAGCCTTTTCCTTTATCTTCACAGAAAGACGAGAGAGAAGCATTGTCAGAAACTTCTTTGTGATGATTGCATTCAACTCACAGAGTTGAAGATTCCTTTTGAAACAGCAGTTTCGAAACACTCTTTCTGTGGGATCCGCAAGGGGATATTTGGACCTCTTTGAAGGTTTCGTTGGAAACGGGATAATCTTCACCTAAAAGCTAAACGGAAGCATTCTCAGAAACTTCTTTGGGATGTTTGCATTCACCTCACAGAGTTGAACTTTCCCTTTGATAGCGCAGCTTTGACACACTGTTTCTACAATGTGCAAGTGGCTATTTAGCGGGCTTGGAGGACTGTGTTGGAAAAGGAAATATCTTCTCCTAAAAACGACATAGAAGCATTCTCAGAAACTGCTCTGTGATGATTGCATTCAACTCCCAGAGTTGAACATTCCTTTTGATAGAGCAGTTTGCAAACACTCTTTTTGTAGAATCTGCAAGTGGAGATTTGGACCGCTTTGAGGTCTGTGGTAGTGAAGGAAAGAACTTCATATAAAAACCACACGGTAGCACTCTCAGAAAATTCTTTGTGACGATGGAGTTTAACTCAGGGAGCTGAACATTCGTTATGATGGAGCAGTTTCCAAACACACGTTTTGTAGAATCTGCAAGGGGATATTTGGACCTCTCTGAGGATTTCGTTGGAAACGGGATCAACTTCCCATAACTGAACGGAAGCAAACTCAGAACATTCTTTGTGATGTTTGTATTCAATTCACAGAGTTGAACCTTCCTTTGATAGTTCAGGTTTGCAACACCCTTGTAGTAGAATCTGCAAGTGTATATTTTGACCACTTTGTAGCCTTCGTTTGAAACGTCTATATCTTCACATCAAACCTAGACAGAAGCATTCTCAGAAAGTTTTCTGCGATGACTGCATTCAACTCACAGAGTTGAACAATCCTTCTGATGGAGCAGTTTTTAAACCCTCTTTCTTTGGAATCTGCAAGGGGATATGTGGACCTCTTTGAAGATTTCACTGGAAACGGGATCATCTTCACATAAAAACTAAACAGAAGCATTCTCGGAAACTATTTTGTGATGTTTGTATTCAACTCCCAGAGTTGAACTTTCCTTTTGAAAGAGCAGCTATGAAACACTCTTTTTCGAGAATCTGCAAGTGGACGTTTGGAGGGCTTTGAGGCCTGTGGTGGAAAAGGAAATATCTTCACACAAAAACCAGATAGAAGCATTCTCAGAAACGACTTTGTGAGGATGGCATTCAACTCATGGAGTTGAACAATCCTATTGATACAGCAGATTGGAATCACTCTTTTTGTAGAATCTGCAAATGGAGATTTGGACTGCTTTGAGGCCTACGGTAGTACAGGAAGGAACATCATATAAAAGGCAAACGGAAGCATTCTCAGAATATTCTTTGTGATGACGGAGTTTCACTCACAGAGCTGAACATGCCTTTTCATGGAGCAGTTTCCAAATACACTTTTGGTAGAATCTGCAGGTGGATATTTGGAGCTCTCTGAGGATTTCGTTGGAAACGGGAATAATTTCCCATAACTAAACACAAACACGCTGAGAAAGTTCTTCATGATGAATGCATTGAACTCGCAGAGATGAACCTGCCTTTGAGAGTTCAGGTTCGAAACACTCTTTCTGTAGAATCTGCAAGTGGATATTTGGACCACTGGGTGGCCTTCGTTCGAAACGGCTATATGTTCACGTAAAAACTAAACAGAAGCGTTCTCAGAAACTTCTGAGTGATGATTGCATTCAAGTCACACAGTTGAACCCTCCTTTTGATGGAGCAGTTTTGAAACTGTCTTTTTGTAGAATCTGTAAGTGGATACGTGGACCTCTTTGAAGATTTCTTTCGAAACGGGAATATTTCCACAGAAAAACTAAACTGAAGCATTCTCAGAAACCGCTTTGTGATGTTTGTGTTCGAGCCACAGAGTTTAACATTGCTTTTCATAGAGCAGTTTTGAAATATTCTTTTGGCAGAATCTGCAAGTGGACATTTGGAGCGCTTTCAGGCCTGTGGTGGAAAAGGCCTGAAAGCCTTTTCCTTTATCTTCACAGAAAGACGAGAGAGAAGCATTGTCAGAAACTTCTTTGTGATGATTGCATTCAACTCACAGAGTTGAAGATTCCTTTTGAAACAGCAGTTTCGAAACACTCTTTCTGTGGGATCCGCAAGGGGATATTTGGACCTCTTTGAAGGTTTCGTTGGAAACGGGATAATCTTCACCTAAAAGCTAAACGGAAGCATTCTCAGAAACTTCTTTGGGATGTTTGCATTCACCTCACAGAGTTGAACTTTCCCTTTGATAGCGCAGCTTTGACACACGTTTTCTACAATGTGCAAGTGGCTATTTAGCGGGCTTGGAGGACTGTGTTGGAAAAGGAAATATCTTCTCCTAAAAACGACATAGAAGCATTCTCAGAAACTGCTCTGTGATGATTGCATTCAACTCCCAGAGTTGAACATTCCTTTTGATAGAGCAGTTTGCAAACACTCTTTTTGTAGAATCTGCAAGTGGAGATTTGGACCGCTTTGAGGCCTGTGGTAGTGAAGGAAAGAACTTCATATAAAAACCAGACGGTAGCACTCTCAGAAAATTCTTTGTGACGATGGAGTTTAACTCAGGGAGCTGAACATTCGTTATGATGGAGCAGTTTCCAAACACACGTTTTGTAGAATCTGCAAGGGGATATTTGGACCTCTCTGAGGATTTCGTTGGAAACGGGATCAACTTCCCATAACTGAACGGAAGCAAACTCAGAACATTCTTTGTGATGTTTGTATTCAACTCACAGAGTTGAACCTTCCTTTGATAGTTCAGGTTTGCAACACCCTTGTAGTAGAATCTGCAAGTGTATATTTTGACCACTTTGTAGCCTTCATTTGAAACGTCTATATCTTCACATCAAACCTAGACAGAAGCATTCTCAGAAAGTTTTCTGCGATGACTGCATTCAACTCACAGAGTTGAACAATCCTTCTGATGGAGCAGTTTTGAAACCCTCTTTCTTTGGAATCTGCAAGGGGATATGTGGACCTCTTTGAAGATTTCACTGGAAACGGGATCATCTTCACATAAAAACTAAACAGAAGCATTCTCGGAAACTACTTTGTGATGTTTGTATTCAACTCCCAGAGTTGAACTTTCCTTTTGAAAGAGCAGCTATGAAACACTCTTTTTCGAGAATCTGCAAGTGGACGTTTGGAGGGCTTGGAGGCCTGTGGTGGAAAAGGAAATACCTTCACATAAAAACTAGATAGAAGCATTCTCAGAAACTACTTTGTGAGGATGGCATTCAACTCATGGAGTTGAACAATCCTATTGATAGAGCAGATTGGAATCACTCTTTTTGTAGAATCTGCAAATGGAGATTTGGACTGCTTTGAGGCCTACGGTCGTATAGGAAGGAACTTCATATAAAAGGCAAACGGAAGCATTCTCAGAATATTCTTTGTGATGATGGAGTTTCACTCACAGAGCTGAACATGCCTTTTGATGGAGCAGTTTCCAAATACACTTTTGGTAGAATCTGCAGGTGGATATTTGGACCTCTCTGAGGATTTCGTTGGAAACGGGAATAATTTCCCATAACTAAACACAAACACTCTGAGAAAGTTCTTCATGATGAATGCATTTAACTCGCAGAGATGAACCTGCCTTTGAGAGTTCAGGTTCGAAACACTCTTTCTGTAGAATCTGCAAGTGGATATTTGGACCACTGGGTGGCCTTCGTTCGAAACGGGTATATGTTCACGTAAAAACTAAAGAGAAGCATTCTCAGAAACTTCTGAGTGATGATTGCATTCAAGTCACACAGTTGAACCCTCCTTTTGATGGAGCAGTTTTGAAACTGTCTTTTTGTAGAATCTGTAAGTGGATACGTGGACCTCTTTGAAGATTTCTTTGGAAACGGGAATATTTCCACAGAAAAACTAAACTGAAGCATTCTCAGAAACCGCTTTGTGATGTTTGTGTTCGAGCCACAGAGTTTAACATTGCTTTTCATAGAGCAGTTTTGAAATATTCTTTTGGCAGAATCTGCAAGTGGACATTTGGAGCGCTTTCAGGCCTGTGGTGGAAAAGGCCTGAAAGCCTTTTCCTTTATCTTCACAGAAAGACGAGAGAGAAGCATTGTCAGAAACTTCTTTGTGATGATTGCATTCAACTCACAGAGTTGAAGATTCCTTTTGAAACAGCAGTTTCGAAACACTCTTTCTGTGGGATCCGCAAGGGGATATTTGGACCTCTTTGAAGGTTTCGTTGGAAACGGGATAATCTTCACCTAAAAGCTAAACGGAAGCATTCTCAGAAACTTCTTTGGGATGTTTGCATTCACCTCACAGAGTTGAACTTTCCCTTTGATAGCGCAGCTTTGACACACGTTTTCTACAATGTGCAAGTGGCTATTTAGCGGGCTTGGAGGACTGTGTTGGAAAAGGAAATATCTTCTCCTAAAAACGACATAGAAGCATTCTCAGAAACTGCTCTGTGATGATTGCATTCAACTCCCAGAGTTGAACATTCCTTTTGATAGAGCAGTTTGCAAACACTCTTTTTGTAGAATCTGCAAGTGGAGATTTGGACCGCTTTGAGGCCTGTGGTAGTGAAGGAAAGAGCTTCATATAAAAACCAGACGGTAGCACTCTCAGAAAATTCTTTGTGACGATGGAGTTTAACTCAGGGAGCTGAACATTCGTTATGATGGAGCAGTTTCCAAACACACGTTTTGTAGAATCTGCAAGGGGATATTTGGACCTCTCTGAGGATTTGGTTGGAAACGGGATCAACTTCCCATAACTGAACGGAAGCAAACTCAGAACATTCTTTGTGATGTTTGTATTCAACTCACAGAGTTGAACCTTCCATTGATAGTTCAGGTTTGCAACACCCTTGTAGTAGAATCTGCAAGTGTATATTTTGACCACTTTGTAGCCTTCGTTTGAAACGTCTATATCTTCACATCAAACCTAGACAGAAGCATTCTCAGAAAGTTTTCTGCGATGACTGCATTCAACTCACAGAGTTGAACAATCCTTCTGATGGAGCAGTTTTGAAACCCTCTTTCTTTGGAATCTGCAAGGGGATATGTGGACCTCTTTGAAGATTTCACTGGAAACGGGATCATCTTCACATAAAAACTAAACAGAAGCATTCTCGGAAACTACTTTGTGATGTTTGTATTCAACTCCCAGAGTTGAACTTTCCTTTTGAAAGAGCAGCTATGAAACACTCTTTTTCGAGAATCTGCAAGTGGACGTTTGGAGGGCTTTGAGGCCTGTGGTGGAAAAGGAAATATCTTCACATAAAAACTAGATAGAAGCATTCTCAGAAACGACTTTGTGAGGATGGCATTCAACTCATGGAGTTGAACAATCCTATTGATAGAGCAGATTGGAATCACTCTTTTTGTAGAATCTGCAAATGGAGATTTGGACTGCTTTGAGGCCTACGGTCGTATAGGAAGGAACTTCATATAAAAGGCAAACGGAAGCATTCTCAGAATATTCTTTGTGATGATGGAGTTTCACTCACAGAGCTGAACATGCCTTTTGATGGAGCAGTTTCCAAATACACTTTTGGTAGAATCAGCAGGTGGATATTTGGAGCTCTCTGAGGATTTCGTTGGAAACGGGAATAATTTCCCATAACTAAACACAAACACTCTGAGAAAGTTCTTCATGATGAATGCATTTAACTTGCAGAGATGAACCTGCCTTTGAGAGTTCAGGTTCGAAACACTCTTTCTGTAGAATCTGCAAGTGGATATTTGGACCACTGGGTGGCCTTCGTTCGAAACGGGTATATGTTCACGTAAAAACTAAAGAGAAGCATTCTCAGAAACTTCTGAGTGATGATTGCATTCAAGTCACACAGTTGAACCCTCCTTTTGATGGAGCAGTTTTGAAACTGTCTTTTTGTAGAATCTGTAAGTGGATACGTGGACCTCTTTGAAGATTTCTTTGGAAACGGGAATATTTCCACAGAAAAACTAAACTGAAACATTCTCAGAAACCGCTTTGTGATGTTTGTGTTCCAGCCACAGAGTTTAACATTGCTTTTCATAGAGCAGTTTTGAAATATTCTTTTCGCAGAATCTGCAAGTGGACATTTGGAGCGCTTTCAGGCCTGTGGTGGAAAAGGCCTGAAAGCCTTTTCCTTTATCTTGACAGAAAGACGAGAGAGAAGCATTGTCAGAAACTTCTTTGTGATGATTGCATTCAACTCACAGAGTTGAAGATTCCTTTTGAAACAGCAGTTTCGAAACACTCTTTCTGTGGGATCCGCAAGGGGATATTTGGACCTCTTTGAAGGTTTCGTTGGAAACGGGATAATCTTCACCTAAAAGCTAAACGGAAGCATTCTCAGAAACTTCTTTGGGATGTTTGCATTCACCTCACAGAGTTGAACTTTCCCTTTGATAGCGCAGCTTTGACACACTTTTTCTACAATGTGCAAGTGGCTATTTAGCGGGCTTGGAGGACTGTGTTGGAAAAGGAAATATCTTCTCCTAAAAACGACATAGAAGCATTCTCAGAAACTGCTCTGTGATGATTGCATTCAACTCCCAGAGTTGAACATTCCTTTTGATAGAGCAGTTTGCAAACACTCTTTTTGTAGAATCTGGAAGTGGAGATTTGGACCGCTTTGAGGCCTGTGGTAGTGAAGGAAAGAGCTTCATATAAAAACCAGACGGTAGCACTCTCAGAAAATTCTTTGTGACGATGGAGTTTAACTCAGGGAGCTGAACATTCGTTATGATGGAGCAGTTTCCAAACACACGTTTTGTAGAATCTGCAAGGGGATATTTGGACCTCTCTGAGGATTTCGTTGGAAACGGGATCAACTTCCCATAACTGAACGGAAGCAAACTCAGAACATTCTTTGTGATGTTTGTATTCAACTCACAGAGTTGAACCTTCCTTTGATAGTTCAGGTTTGCAACACCCTTGTAGTAGAATCTGCAAGTGTATATTTTGACCACTTTGTAGCCTTCGTTTGAAACGTCTATATCTTCACATCAAACCTAGAAAGAAGCATTCTCAGAAAGTTTTCTGCGATGACTGCATTCAACTCACAGAGTTGAACAATCCTTCTGATGGAGCAGTTTTGAAACCCTCTTTCTTTGGAATCTGCAAGGGGATATGTGGACCTCTTTGAAGATTTCACTGGAAACGGGATCATCTTCACATAAAAACTAAACAGAAGCATTCTCGGAAACTACTTTGTGATGTTTGTATTCAACTCCCAGAGTTGAACTTTCCTTTTGAAAGAGCAGCTATGAAACACTCTTTTTCGAGAATCTGCAAGTGGACGTTTGGAGGGCTTTGAGGCCTGTGGTGGAAAAGGAAATATCTTCACATAAAAACTAGATAGAAGCATTCTCAGAAACGACTTTGTGAGGATGGCATTCAACTCATGGAGTTGAACAATCCTATTGATAGAGCAGATTGGAATCACTCTTTTTGTAGAATCTGCAAATGGAGATTTGGACTGCTTTGAGGCCTACGGTAGTATAGGAAGGAACTTCATATAAAAGGCAAACGGAAGCATTCTCAGAATATTCTTTGTGATGACGGAGTTTCACTCACAGAGCTGAACATGCCTTTTCATGGAGCAGTTTCCAAATACACTTTTGGTAGAATCTGCAGGTGGATATTTGGAGCTCTCTGAGGATTTCGTTGGAAACGGGAATAATTTCCCATAACTAAACACAAACACGCTGAGAAAGTTCTTCATGATGAATGCATTTAACTCGCAGAGATGAACCTGCCTTTGAGAGTTCAGGTTCAAAACACTCTTTCTGTAGAATCTGCAAGTGGATATTTGGACCACTGGCTGGCCTTCATTCGAAACGGGTATATGTTCACGTAAAAACTAAAGAGAAGCGTTCTCAGAAACTTCTGAGTGATGAATGCATTCAAGTCACACAGTTGAACCCTCCTTTTGATTGAGCAGTTTTGAAACTGTCTTTTTGTAGAATCTGTAAGTGGATGCGTGGACCTCTTTGAAGATTTCTTTGGAAACGGGAATATTTCCACAGAAAAACTAAACTGAAGCATTCTCAGAAACTGCTTTGTGATGTTTGTGTTCGAGCCGCAGAGTTTAACATTGCTTTTCATAGAGCAGTTTTGAAATATTCTTTTGGCAGAATCTGCAAGTGGACATTTGGAGCGCTTTCAGGCCTGTGGTGGAAATGGCCTGAAAGCCTTTTCCTTTATCTTCACAGAAAGACGAGAGAGAAGCATTGTCAGAAACTTCTTTGTGATGATTGCATTCAACTCACAGAGTTGAAGATTCCTTTTGAAACAGCAGTTTCGAAACACTCTTTCTGTGGGATCCGCAAGGGGATATTTGGACCTCTTTGAAGATTTCGTTGGAAACGGGATAATCTTCACTTAAAGCTAAACGGAAGCATTCTCAGAAACTTCTTTGGGATGTTTGCATTCACCTCACAGAGTTGAACTTTCCCTTTGATAGCGCAGCTTCGACACACTTTTTCTACAATGTGCAAGTGGATATTTAGCGGGCTTGGAGGACTGTGTTGGAAAAGGAAATATCTTCTCCTAAAAACGACATAGAAGCATTCTCAGAAACTGCTCTGTGATGATTGCATTCAACTCCCAGAGTTGAACATTCCTTTTGATAGAGCAGTTTGCAAACACTCTTTTTGTAGAATCTGCAAGTGGAGATTTGGACCGCTTTGAGGCCTGTGGTAGTGAAGGAAAGAACTTCATATAAAAACCAGACGGTAGCACTCTCAGAAAATTCTTTGTGACGATGGAGTTTAACTCAGGGAGCTGAACATTCGTTATGATGGAGCAGTTTCCAAACACACGTTTTGTAGAATCTGCGAGGGGATATTTGGACCTCTCTGAGGATTTCGTTGGAAACGGGATCAACTTCCCATAACTGAACGGAAGCAAACTCAGAACATTCTTTGTGATGTTTGTATTCAACTCACAGAGTTGAACCTTCCTTTGATAGTTCAGGTTTGCAACACCCTTGTAGTAGAATCTGCAAGTGTATATTTTGACCACTTTGTAGCCTTCGTTTGAAACGTCTATATCTTCACATCAAACCTAGACAGAAGCATTCTCAGAAAGTTTTCTGCGATGACTGCATTCAACTCACAGAGTTGAATAATCCTTCTGATGGAGCAGTTTTGAAACCCTCTTTCTTTGGAATCTGCAAGGGGATATGTGGACCTCTTTGAAGATTTCACTGGAAACGGGATCATCTTCACATAAAAACTAAACAGAAGCATTCTCGGAAACTACTTTGTGATGTTTGTATTCAACTCCCAGAGTTGAACTTTCCTTTTGAAAGAGCAGCTATGAAACACTCTTTTTCGAGAATCTGCAAGTGGACGTTTGGAGGGCTTTGAGGCCTGTGGTGGAAAAGGAAATATCTTCACACAAAAACCAGATAGAAGCATTCTCAGAAACTGCTTTGTGAGGATGGCATTCAACTCATGGAGTTGAACAATCCTATTGATAGAGCAGATTGGAATCACTCTTTTTGTAGAATCTGCAAATGGAGATTTGGACTGCTTTGAGGCCTACGGTAGTACAGGAAGGAACTTCATATAAAAGGCAAACGGAAGCATTCTCAGAATATTCTTTGTGATGATGGAGTTTCACTCACAGAGCTGAACATGCCTTTTGATGGAGCAGTTTCCAAATACACTTTTGGTAGAATCTGCAGGTGGATATTTGGAGCTCTCTGAGGATTTCGTTGGAAACGGGAATAATTTCCCATAACTAAACACAAACACTCTGAGAAAGTTCTTCATGATGAATGCATTTAACTCGCAGAGATGAACCTGCCTTTGAGAGTTCAGGTTCGAAACACTCTTTCTATATAATCTGCAAGTGGATATTTGGACCACTGGGTGGCCTTCGTTCGAAACGGGTATATGTTCACGTAAAAACTAAAGAGAAGCATTCTCAGAAACTTCTGAGTGATGATTGCATTCAAGTCACACAGTTGAACCCTCGTTTTGATTGAGCAGTTTTGAAACTGTCTTTTTGTAGAATCTGTAAGTGGATGCGTGGACCTCTTTGAAGATTTCTTTGGAAACGGGAATATTTCCACAGAAAAACTAAACTGAAGCATTCTCAGAAACTGCTTTGTGATGTTTGTGTTCGAGCCGCAGAGTTTAACATTGCTTTTCATAGAGCAGTTTTGAAATATTCTTTTGGCAGAATCTGCAAGTGGACATTTGGAGCGCTTTCAGGCCTGTGGTGGAAAAGGCCTGAAAGCCTTTTCCTTTATCTTCACAGAAAGACGAGAGAGAAGCATTGTCAGAAACTTCTTTGTGATGATTGCATTCAACTCACAGAGTTGAAGATTCCTTTTGAAACAGCAGTTTCGAAACACTCTTTCTGTGGGATCCGCAAGGGGATATTTGGACCTCTTTGAAGGTTTCGTTGGAAACGGGATAATCTTCACCTAAAAGCTAAACGGAAGCATTCTCAGAAACTTCTTTGGGATGTTTGCATTCACCTCACAGAGTTGAACTTTCCCTTTGATAGCGCAGCTTCGACACACTTTTTCTACAATGTGCAAGTGGATATTTAGCGGGCTTGGAGGACTGTGTTGGAAAAGGAAATATCTTCTCCTAAAAACGACATAGAAGCATTCTCAGCAAACTGCTCTGTGATGATTGCATTCAACTCCCAGGAGTTGAACATTCCTTTTGATAGAGCAGTTTGCAAACACTCTTTTTGTAGAATCTGCAAGTGGAGATTTGGACCGCTTTGAGGCCTGTGGTAGTAAAGGAAAGAACTTCATATAAAAACTAGACGGTAGCACTCTCAGAAAATTCTTTGTGACGATGGAGTTTAACTCAGAGAGCTGAACATTCGTTATGATGGAGCAGTTTCCAAACACACGTTTTGTAGAATCTGCAAGGGGATATTTGGACCTCTCTGAGGATTTCGTTGGAAACGGGATCAACTTCCCATAACTGAACGGAAGCAAACTCAGAGCATTCTTTGCGATGTTTGTATTCAACTCACAGAGTTGAACCTTCCTTTGATAGTTCAGGTTTGCAACACCCTTGTAGTAGAATCTGCAAGTGTATATTTTGACCACTTTGTAGCCTTCGTTTGAAACGTCTATATCTTCACATCAAACCTAGACAGAAGCATTCTCAGAAAGTTTTCTGCGATGACTGCATTCAACTCACAGAGTTGAACAATCCTTCTGATGGAGCAGTTTTTGAAACCCTCTTTCTTTGGAATCTGCAAGGGGATATGTGGACCTCTTTGAAGATTTCACTGGAAACGGGATCATCTTCACATAAAAACTAAACAGAAGCATTCTCGGAAACTACTTTGTGATGTTTGTATTCAACTCCCAGAGTTGAACTTTCCTTTTGAAAGAGCAGCTATGAAACACTCTTTTTCGAGAATCTGCAAGTGGACGTTTGGAGGGCTTTGAGGCCTGTGGTGGAAAAGGAAATATCTTCACATAAAAACTAGATAGAAGCATTCTCAGAAACGACTTTGTGAGGATGGCATTCAACTCATGGAGTTGAACAATCCTATTGATAGAGCAGATTGGAATCACTCTTTTTGTAGAATCTGCAAATGGAGATTTGGACTGCTTTGAGGCCTACGGTCGTATAGGAAGGAACTTCATATAAAAGGCAAACGGAAGCATTCTCAGAATATTCTTTGTGATGATGGAGTTTCACTCACAGAGCTGAACATGCCTGTTGATGGAGCAGTTTCCCAATACACTTTTGGTAGAATCTGCAGGTGGACATTTGGACCTCTCTGAGGATTTCTTTGGGAACGGGAATAATTTCCCATAACTAAACACAAACACGCTGAGAAAGTTCTTCATGACGAATGCATTTAACTCGCAGAGATGAACTTGCCTTTGAGAGTTCAGGTTCGAAACACTCTTTCTGTAGAATCTGCAAGTGGATATTTGGACCACTGGGTGGCCTTCGTTCGAAACGGGTATATGTTCACGTAAAAACTAAAGAGAAGCATTCTCAGAAACTTCTGAGTGATGATTGCATTCAAGTCACACAGTTGAACCCTCCTTTTGATTGAGCAGTTTTGAAACTGTCTTTTTGTAGAATCTGTAAGTGGATACGTGGACCTCTTTGAAGATTTCTTTGGAAACGGGAATATTTCCACAGAAAAACTAAACTGAAGCATTCTCAGAAACTGTTTTGTGATGTTTGTGTTCGAGCCGCAGAGTTTAACATTGCTTTTCATAGAGCAGTTTTGAAATATTCTTTTGGCAGAATCTGCAAGTGGACATTTGGAGCGCTTTCAGGCCTGTGGTGGAAAAGACCTGAAAGCCTTTTCCTTTATCTTCACAGAAAGACGAGAGAGAAGCATTGTCAGAAACTTCTTTGTGATGATTGCATTCAACTCACAGAGTTGAAGATTCCTTTTGAAACAGCAGTTTCGAAACACTCTTTCTGTGGGATCCGCAAGGGGATATTTGGACCTCTTTGAAGCTTTCGTTGGAAACGGGATAATCTTCACCTAAAAGCTAAACGGAAGCATTCTCAGAAACTTCTTTGGGATGTTTGCATTCACCTCACAGAGTTGAACTTTCCCTTTGATAGCGCAGCTTCGACACACTTTTTCTACAATGTGCAAGTGGATATTTAGCGGGCTTGGAGGACTGTGTTGGAAAAGGAAATATCTTCTCCTAAAAACGACATAGAAGCCTTCTCAGAAACTGCTCTGTGATGATTGCATTCAACTCCCAGAGTTGAACATTCCTTTTGATAGAGCAGTTTGCAGACACTCTTTTTGTAGAATCTGCAAGTGGAGATTTGGACCGCTTTGAGGCCTGTGGTAGTAAAGGAAAGAACTTCATATAAAAACTAGACGGTAGCACTCTCAGAAAATTCTTTGTGACGATGGAGTTTAACTCAGAGAGCTGAACATTCGTTATGATGGAGCAGTTTCCAAACACACGTTTTGTAGAATCTGCAAGGGAATATTTGGACCTCTCTGAGGATTTCGTTGGGAAGGGGATCAACTTCCCATAACTGAACGGAAGCAAACTCAGAACATTCTTTGTGATGTTTGTATTCAACCCACAGAGTTGAACCTTCCTTTGATAGTTCAGGTTTGCAACACCCTTGTAGTAGAATCTGCAAGTGTATATTTTGACCACTTTGTAGCCTTCGTTTGAAACGTCTATATCTTCACATCAAACCTAGACAGAAGCATTCTCAGAAAGTTTTCTGCGATGACTGCATTCAACTCACAGAGTTGAACAATCCTTTTGATGGAGCAGTTTTGAAACCCTCTTTCTTTGGAATCTGCAAGGGGATATGTGGACCTCTTTGAAGATTTCACTGGAAACGGGATCATCTTCACATAAGAACTAAACAGAAGCATTCTCGGAAACTATTTTGTGATGTTTGTATTCAACTCCCAGAGTTGAACTTTCCTTTTGAAAGAGCAGCTATGAAACACTCTTTTTCGAGAATCTGCAAGTGGACGTTTGGAGGGCTTTGAGGCCTGTGGTGGAAAAGGAAATATCTTCACACAAAAACCAGATAGAAGCATTCTCAGAAACTACTTTGTGAGGATGGCATTCAACTCATGGAGTTGAACAATCCTATTGATAGAGCAGATTGGAATCACTCTTTTTGTAGAATCTGCAAATGGAGATTTGGACTGCTTTGAGGCCTACGGTAGTACAGGAAGGAACTTCATATAAAAGGCAAACGGAAGCATTCTCAGAATATTCTTTGTGATGATGGAGTTTCACTCACAGAGCTGAACATGCCTTTTGATGGAGCAGTTTCCAAATACACTTTTGGTAGAATCTGCAGGTGGATATTTGGAGCTCTTTGAGGATTTCTTTGGAAACGGGAATAATTTCCCATAACTAAACACAAATACTCTGAGAAAGTTCTTCATGATGAATGCATTTAACTCGCAGAGATGAACCTTCCTTTGAGAGTTCAGGTTCGAAACACTCTTTCTGTAGAATCTGCAAGTGGATATTTGGACCACTGGGTGGCCTTCGTTCGAAACGGGTATATGTTCACGTAAAAACTAAAGAGAAGCATTCTCAGAAACTTCTGAGTGATGATTGCATTCAAGTCACACAGTTGAACCCTCCTTTTGATGGAGCAGTTTTGAAACTGTCTTTTTGTAGAATCTGTAAGTGGATACGTGGACCTCTTTGAAGATTTCTTTGGAAACGGTAATATTTCCACAGAAAAACTAAACTGAAGCATTCTCAGAAACTGCTTTGTGATGTTTGTGTTCGAGCCACAGAGTTTAACATTGCTTTTCATAGAGCAGTTTTGAAATATTCTTTTCGCAGAATCTGCAAGTGGACATTTGGAGCGCTTTCAGGCCTGTGGTGGAAAAGGCCTGAAAGCCTTTTCCTTTATCTTCACAGAAAGACGAGAGAGAAGCATTGTCAGAAACTTCTTTGTGATGATTGCATTCAACTCACAGAGTTGAACATTCCTTTTGAAACAGCAGTTTCGAAACACTCTTTCTGTGGGATCCGCAAGGGGATATTTGGACCTCTTTGAAGGTTTCGTTGGAAACGGGATAATCTTCACCTAAAAGCTAAACGGAAGCATTCTCAGAAACTTCTTTGGGATGTTTGCATTCACCTCACAGAGTTGAACTTTCCCTTTGATAGCGCAGCTTTGACACACTTTTTCTACAATGTGCAAGTGGCTATTTAGCGGGCTTGGAGGACTGTGTTGGAAAAGGAAATATCTTCTCCTAAAAACGACATAGAAGCATTCTCAGAAACTGCTCTGTGATGATTGCATTCAACTCCCAGAGTTGAACATTCCTTTTGATAGAGCAGTTTGCAAACACTCTTTTTGTAGAATCTGCAAGTGGAGATTTGGACCGCTTTGAGGCCTGTGGTAGTGAAGGAAAGAACTTCATATAAAAACCAGACGGTAGCACTATCAGAAAATTCTTTGTGACGATGGAGTTTAACTCAGGGAGCTGAACATTCGTTATGATGGAGCAGTTTCCAAACACACGTTTTGTAGAATCTGTGAGGGGATATTTGGACCTCTCTGAGGATTTCGTTGGAAACGGGATCAACTTCCCATAACTGAACGGAAGCAAACTCAGAACATTCTTTGTGATGTTTGTATTCAACTCACAGAGTTGAACCTTCCTTTGATAGTTCAGGTTTGCAACACCCTTGTAGTAGAATCTGCAAGTGTATATTTTGACCACTTTGTAGCCTTCGTTTGAAACGTCTATATCTTCACATCAAACCTAGACAGAAGCATTCTCAGAAAGTTTTCTGCGATGACTGCATTCAACTCACAGAGTTGAACAATCCTTCTGATGGAGCAGTTTTGAAACCCTCTTTCTTTGGAATCTGCAAGGGGATATGTGGACCTCTTTGAAGATTTCACTGGAAACGGGATCATCTTCATATAAAAACTAAACAGAAGCATTCTCGGAAACTACTTTGTGATGTTTGTATTCAACTCCCAGAGTTGAACTTTCCTTTTGAAAGAGCAGCTATGAAACACTCTTTTTCGAGAATCTGCAAGTGGACGTTTGGAGGGCTTTGAGGCCTGTGGTGGAAAAGGAAATATCTTCACACAAAAACCAGATAGAAGCATTCTCAGAAACTACTTTGTGAGGATGGCATTCAACTCATGGAGTTGAACAATCCTATTGATAGAGCAGATTGGAATCACTCTTTTTGTAGAATCTGCAAATGGAGATTTGGACTGCTTTGAGGCCTACGGTAGTACAGGAAGGAACTTCATATAAAAGGCAAACGGAAGCATTCTCAGAATATTCTTTGTGATGATGGAGTTTCACTCACAGAGCTGAACATGCCTTTTGATGGAGCAGTTTCCAAATACGCTTTTGGTAGAATCTGCAGGTGGATATTTGGAGCTCTCTGAGGATTTCGTTGGAAACGGGAATAATTTCCCATAACTAAACACAAACACTCTGAGAAAGTTCTTCATGATGAATGCATTTAACTCGCAGAGATGAACCTGCCTTTGAGAGTTCAGGTTCGAAACACTCTTTCTGTAGAATCTGCAAGTGGATATTTGGACCACTGGGTGGCCTTCGTTCGAAACGGGTATATGTTCACGTAAAAACTAAAGAGAAGCATTCTCAGAAACTTCTGAGTGATGATTGCATTCAAGTCACACAGTTGAACCCTCCTTTTGATGGAGCAGTTTTGAAACTGTCTTTTTGTAGAATCTGTAAGTGGACACGTGGACCTCTTTGAAGATTTCTTTGGAAACGGGAATATTTCCACAGAAAAACTAAACTGAAGCATTCTCAGAAACTGCTTTGTGATGTTTGTGTTCGAGCCACAGAGTTTAACATTGCTTTTCATAGAGCAGTTTTGCAATATTCTTTTCACAGAATCTGCAAGTGGACATTTGGAGCGCTTTCAGGCCTGTGGTGGAAAAGGCCTGAAAGCCTTTTCCTTTATCTTCACAGAAAGACGAGAGAGAAGCATTGTCAGAAACTTCTTTGTGATGATTGCATTCAACTCACAGAGTTGAAGATTCCTTTTGAAACAGCAGTTTCGAAACACTCTTTCTGTGGGATCCGCAAGGGGATATTTGGACCTCTTTGAAGGTTTCGTTGGAAACGGGATAATCTTCACCTAAAAGCTAAACGGAAGCATTCTCAGAAACTTCTTTGGGATGTTTGCATTCACCTCACAGAGTTGAACTTTCCCTTTGATAGCGCAGCTTTGACACACTTTTTCTACAATGTGCAAGTGGCTATTTAGCGGGCTTGGAGGACTGTGTTGGAAAAGGAAATATCTTCTCCTAAAAACGACATAGAAGCATTCTCAGAAACTGCTCTGTGATGATTGCATTCAACTCCCAGAGTTGAACATTCCTTTTGATAGAGCAGTTTGCAAACACTCTTTTTGTAGAATCTGCAAGTGGAGATTTGGACCGCTTTGAGGTCTGTGGTAGTGAAGGAAAGAGCTTCATACAAAAACCAGACGGTAGCACTCTCAGAAAATTCTTTGTGACGATGGAGTTTAACTCAGGGAGCTGAACATTCGTTATGATGGAGCAGTTACCAAACACACGTTTTGTAGAATCTGCAAGGGGATATTTGGACCTCTCTGAGGATTTCGTTGGAAACGGGATCAACTTCCCATAACTGAACGGAAGCAAACTCAGAACATTCTTTGTGATGTTTGTATTCAACTCACAGAGTTGAACCTTCCTTTGATAGTTCAGGTTTGCAACACCCTTGTAGTAGAATCTGCAAGTGTATATTTTGACCACTTTGTAGCCTTCGGTTGAAACATCTATATCTTCACATCAAACCTAGACAGAAGCATTCTCAGAAAGTTTTCTGCGATGACTGCATTCAACTCACAGAGTTGAACAATCCTTCTGATGGAGCAGTTTTGAAACCCTCTTTCTTTGGAATCTGCAAGGGGATATGTGGACCTCTTTGAAGATTTCACTGGAAACGGGATCATCTTCACATAAAAACTAAACTGAAGCATTCTCGGAAACTATTTTGTGATGTTTGTATTCAACTCCCAGAGTTGAACTTTCCTTTTGAAAGAGCAGCTATGAAACACTCTTTTTCGAGAATCTGCAAGTGGACGTTTGGAGGGCTTTGAGGCCTGTGGTGGAAAAGGAAATATCTTCACACAAAAACCAGATAGAAGCATTCTCAGAAACTACTTTGTGAGGATGGCATTCAACTCATGGAGTTGAACAATCCTATTGATAGAGCAGATTGGAATCACTCTTTTTGTAGAATCTGCAAATGGAGATTTGGACTGCTTTGAGGCCTACGGTAGTACAGGAAGGAACTTCATATAAAAGGCAAACGGAAGCATTCTCAGAATATTCTTTGTGATGATGGAGTTTCACTCACAGAGCTGAACATGCCTTTTGATGGAGCAGTTTCCAAATACACTTTTGGTAGAATCTGCAGGTGGATATTTGGAGCTCTCTGAGGATTTCGTTGGAAACGGGAATAATTTCCCATAACTAAACACAAACACTCTGAGAAAGTTCTTCATGATGAATGCATTTAACTCGCAGAGATGAACCTGCCTTTGAGAGTTCAGGTTCGAAACACTCTTTCTGTATAATCTGCAAGTGGATATTTGGACCACTGGGTGGTCTTCGTTCGAAACGGGTATATGTTCACGTAAAAACTAAAGAGAAGCATTCTCAGAAACTTCTGAGTGATGATTGCATTCAAGTCACACAGTTGAACCCTCCTTTTGATGGAGCAGTTTTGAAACTGTCTTTTTGTAGAATCTGTAAGTGGATACGTGGACCTCTTTGAAGATTTCTTTGGAAACGGGAATATTTCCACAGAAAAACTAAACTGAAGCATTCTCAGAAACCGCTTTGTGATGTTTGTGTTCGAGCCACAGAGTTTAACATTGCTTTTCACAAAGCAGTTTTGAAATATTCTTTTGGCAGAATCTGCAAGTGGACATTTGGAGCGCTTTCAGGCCTGTGGTGGCAAAGGCCTGAAAGCATTTATTTATCTTCACAGAAAGACGAGAGAGAAGCATTGTCAGAAACTTCTTTGTGATGATTGCATTCAACTCACAGAGTTGAAGATTCCTTTTGAAACAGCAGTTTCGAAACACTCTTTCTGTGGGATCCGCAAGGGGATATTTGGACTTCTTTGAAGGTTTCGTTGGAAACGGGATAATCTTCACCTAAAAGCTAAACGGAAGCACTCTCAGAAACTTCTTTGGGATGTTTGCATTCACCTCTCAGAGTTGAACTTTCCCTTTGATAGCGCAGCTTTGACACACTTTTTCTACAATGTGCAAGTGGCTATTTAGCGGACTTGGAGGACTGTGTTGGAAAAGGAAATATCTTCTCCTAAAAACGACATAGAAGCATTCTCAGAAACTGCTCTGTGATGATTGCATTCAACTCCCAGAGTTGAACATTCCTTTTGATAGAGCAGTTTGCAAACACTCTTTTTGTAGAATCTGCAAGTGGAGATTTGGACCGCTTTGAGGCCTGTGGTAGTGAAGGAAAGAACTTCATATAAAAACCAGACGGTAGCACTCTCAGAAAATTCTTTGTGACGATGGAGTTTAACTCAGGGAGCTGAACATTCGTTATGATGGAGCAGTTTCCAAACACACGTTTTGTAGAATCTGCAAGGGGATATTTGGACCTCTCTGAGGATTTCGTTGGAAACGGGATCAACTTCCCATAACTGAACGGAAGCAAACTCAGAACATTCTTTGTGATGTTTGTATTCAACTCACAGAGTTGAACCTTCCTTTGATAGTTCAGGTTTGCAACACCCTTGTAGTAGAATCTGCAAGTGTATATTTTGACCACTTTGTAGCCTTCGTTTGAAACGTCTATATCTTCACATCAAACCTAGACAGAAGCATTCTCAGAAAGTTTTCTGCGATGACTGCATTCAACTCACAGAGTTGAACAATCCTTTTGATGGAGCAGTTTTGAAACCCTCTTTCTTTGGAATCTGCAAGGGGATATGTGGACCTCTTTGAAGATTTCACTGGAAACGGGATCATCTTCACATAAAAACTAAACAGAAGCATTCTCGGAAACTATTTTGTGATGTTTGTATTCAACTCCCAGAGTTGAACTTTCCTTTTGAAAGAGCAGCTATGAAACACTCTTTTTCGAGAATCTGCAAGTGGTCGTTTGGAGGGCTTTGAGGCCTGTGGTGGAAAAGGAAATATCTTCACACAAAAACCAGATAGAAGCATTCTCAGAAACTACTTTGTGAGGATGGCATTCAACTCATGGAGTTGAACAATCCTATTGATAGAGCAGATTGGAATCACTCTTTTTGTAGAATCTGCAAATGGAGATTTGGACTGCTTTGAGGCCTACGGTCGTATAGGAAGGAACTTCATATAAAAGGCAAACGGAAGCATTCTCAGAATATTCTTTGTGATGATGGAGTTTCACTCACAGAGCTGAACATGCCTTTTGATGGAGCAGTTTCCAAATACACTTTTGGTAGAATCTGCAGGTGGATATTTGGAGCTCTCTGAGGATTTCGTTGGAAACGGGAATAATTTCCCATAACTAAACACAAACACTCTGAGAAAGTTCTTCATGATGAATGCATTTAACTCGCAGAGATGAACCTGCCTTTGAGAGTTCAGGTTCGAAACACTCTTTCTGTAGAATCTGCAAGTGGATATTTGGACCACTGGCTGGCCTTCGTTCGAAACGGGTATATGTTCACGTAAAAACTAAAGAGAAGCATTCTCAGAAACTTCTGAGTGATGATTGCATTCAAGTCACACAGTTGAACCCTCCTTTTGATGGAGCAGTTTTGAAACTGTCTTTTTGTAGAATCTGTAAGTGGATACGTGGACCTCTTTGAAGATTTCTTTGGAAACGGGAATATTTCCACAGAAAAACTAAACTGAAGCATTCTCAGAAACCGCTTTGTGATGTTTGTGTTCGAGCCACAGAGTTTAACATTGCTTTTCATAGAGCAGTTTTGAAATATTCTTTTGGCAGAATCTGCAAGTGGACATTTGGAGCGCTTTCAGGCCTGTGGTGGAAAAGGCCTGAAAGCCTTTTCCTTTATCTTCACAGAAAGACGAGAGAGAAGCATTGTCAGAAACTTCTTTGTGATGATTGCATTCAACTCACAGAGTTGAAGATTCCTTTTGAAACAGCAGTTTCGAAACACTCTTTCTGTGGGATCCGCAAGGGGATATTTGGACCTCTTTGAAGGTTTCGTTGGAAACGGGATAATCTTCACCTAAAAGCTAAACGGAAGCATTCTCAGAAACTTCTTTGGGATGTTTGCATTCACCTGACAGAGTTGAACTTTCCCTTTGATAGCGCAGCTTTGACACACTTTTTCCACAATGTGCAAGTGGCTATTTAGCGGGCTTGGGGGACTGTGTTGGAAAAGGAAATATCTTCTCCTAAAAACGACATAGAAGCATTCTCAGAAACTGCTCTGTGATGATTGCATTCAACTCCCAGAGTTGAACATTCCTTTTGATAGAGCAGTTTGCAAACACTCTTTTTGTAGAATCTGCAAGTGGAGATTTGGACCGCTTTGAGGCCTGTGGTAGTGAAGGAAAGAGCTTCATATAAAAACCAGACGGTAGCACTCTCAGAAAATTCTTTGTGACGATGGAGTTTAACTCAGGGAGCTGAACATTCGTTATGATGGAGCAGTTTCCAAACACACGTTTTGTAGAATCTGCAAGGGGATATTTGGACCTCTCTGAGGATTTCGTTGGAAACGGGATCAACTTCCCATAACTGAACGGAAGCAAACTCAGAACATTCTTTGTGATGTTTGTATTCAACTCACAGAGTTGAACCTTCCTTTGATAGTTCAGGTTTGCAACACCCTTGTAGTAGAATCTGCAAGTGTATATTTTGACCACTTTGTAGCCTTCGTTTGAAACGTCTATATCTTCACATCAAACCTAGAAAGAAGCATTCTCAGAAAGTTTTCTGCGATGACTGCATTCAACTCACAGAGTTGAACAATCCTTCTGATGGAGCAGTTTTGAAACCCTCTTTCTTTGGAATCTGCAAGGGGATATGTGGACCTCTTTGAAGATTTCACTGGAAACGGGATCATCTTCACATAAAAACTAAACAGAAGCATTCTCGGAAACTACTTTGTGATGTTTGTATTCAACTCCCAGAGTTGAACTTTCCTTTTGAAAGAGCAGCTATGAAACACTCTTTTTCGAGGATCTGCAAGTGGACGTTTGGAGGGCTTTGAGGCCTGTGGTGGAAAAGGAAATATCTTCACATAAAAACTAGATAGAAGCATTCTCAGAAACGACTTTGTGAGGATGGCATTCAACTCATGGAGTTGAACAATCCTATTGATAGAGCAGATTGGAATCACTCTTTTTGTAGAATCTGCAAATGGAGATTTGGACTGCTTTGAGGCCTACGGTCGTATAGGAAGGAACTTCATATAAAAGGCAAACGGAAGCATTCTCAGAATATTCTTTGTGATGATGGAGTTTCACTCACAGAGCTGAACATGCCTTTTGATGGAGCAGTTTCCAAATACACTTTTGGTAGAATCTGCAGGTGGATATTTGGAGCTCTCTGAGGATTTCGTTGGAAACGGGAATAATTTCCCATAACTAAACACAAAACACTCTGAGAAAGTTCTTCATTTAGAATGCATTGAACTCGCAGAGATGAACCTGCCTTTGAGAGTTCAGGTTCGAAACACTCTTTCTGTAGAATCTGCAAGTGGATATTTGGACCACTGGCTGGCCTTCGTTCGAAACGGGTATATGTTCACGTAAAAACTAAAGAGAAGCGTTCTCAGAAACTTCTGAGTGATGATTGCATTCAAGTCACACGGTTGAACCCTCCTTTTGATTGAGCAGTTTTGAAACTGTCTTTTTGTAGAATCTGTAAGTGGATGCGTGGACATCTTTGAACATGTCTTTCGAAACGGGAATATTTCCTCAGAAAAACTAAACTGAAGCATTCTCAGAAACTGCTTTGTGATGTTTGTGTTCGAGCCACAGAGTTTAACATTGCTTTTCATAGAGCAGTTTTGAAATATTCTTTTGGCAGAATCTGCAAGTGGACATTTGGAACGCTTTCAGGCCTGTGGTGGAAAAAGCCTGAAAGCCTTTTCCTTTATCTTCACAGAAAGACGAGAGAGATGCATTGTCAGAAACTTCTTTGTGATGATTGCAGTCAACTCACAGAGTTGAAGATTCCTTTTGAAACAGCAGTTTCGAAACACTCTTTCTGTGGGATCCGCAAGGGGATATTTGGACCTCTTTGAAGATTTCGTTGGAAACGGGATAATCTTCACCTAAAAGCTAAACGGAAGCATTCTCAGAAACTTCTTTGGGATGTTTGCATTCACCTCACAGAGGTGAACTTTCCCTTTGATAGCGCAGCTTCGACACACTTTTTCTCCAATGTGCAAGTGGATATTTAGCGGGCTTGGAGGACTGTGTTGGAAAAGGAAATATCTTCTCCTAAAAACGACATAGAAGCATTCTCAGAAACTGCTCTGTGATGATTGCATTCAACTCCCAGAGTTGAACATTCCTTTTGATAGAGCAGTTTGCAAACACTCTTTTTGTAGAATCTGCAAGTGGAGATTTGGACCGCTTTGAGGCCTGTGGTAGTAAAGGAAAGAACTTCATATAAAAACCAGACGGTAGCACTCTCAGAAAATTCTTTGTGACGATGGAGTTTAACTCAGAGAGCTGAACATTCGTTATGATGGAGCAGTTTCCAAACACACGTTTTGTAGAATCTGCAAGGGGATATTTGGACCTCTCTGAGGATTTCGTTGGAAACGGGATCAACTTCCCATAACTGAACGGAAGCAAACTCAGAACATTCTTTGTGATGTTTGTATTCAACTCACAGAGTTGAACCTTCCTTTGATAGTTCAGGTTTGCAACACCCTTGTAGTAGAATCTGCAAGTGTATATTTTGACCACTTTGTAGCCTTCGTTTGAAACGTCTATATCTTCACCTCAAACCTAGACAGAAGCATTCTCAGAAAGTTTTCTGCGATGACTGCATTCAACTCACAGAGTTGAACAATCCTTTTGATGGAGCAGTTTTGAAACCCTCTTTCTTTGGAATCTGCAAGGGGATATGTGGACCTCTTTGAAGATTTCACTGGAAACGGGATCATCTTCACATAAGAACTAAACAGAAGCATTCTCGGAAACTACTTTGTGATGTTTGTATTCAACTCCCAGAGTTGAACTTTCCTTTTGAAAGAGCAGCTATGAAACACTCTTTTTCGAGAATCTGCAAGTGGACGTTTGGAGGGCTTTGAGGCCTGTGGTGGAAAAGGAAATATCTTCACATAAAAACTAGATAGAAGCATTCTCAGAAACGACTTTGTGAGGATGGCATTCAACTCATGGAGTTGTACAGTCCTATTGATAGAGGAGATTGGAATCACTCTTTTTGTAGAATCTGCAAATGGAGATTTGGACTGCTTTGAGGCCTACGGTAGTATAGGAAGGAACTTCATATAAAAGGCAAACGGAAGCATTCTCAGAATATTCTTTGTGATGATGGAGTTTCACTCACAGAGCTGAACATGCCTTTTGATGGAGCAGTTTCCAAATACACTTTTGGTAGAATCTGCAGGTGGATATTTGGAGCTCTCTGAGGATTTCGTTGGAAACGGGAATAATTTCCCATAACTAAACACAAACACGCTGAGAAAGTTCTTCATGATGAATGCATTTAACTCGCAGAGATGAACCTGCCTTTGAGAGTTCAGGTTCGAAACACTCTTTCTGTAGAATCTGCAAGTGGATATTTGGACCACTGGCTGGCCTTCGTTCGAAACGGGTATATGTTCACGTAAAAACTAAAGAGAAGCGTTCTCAGAAACTTCTGAGTGATGATTGCATTCAAGTCACACAGTTGAACCCTCCTTTTGATTGAGCAGTTTTGAAACTGTCTTTTTGTAGAATCTGTAAGTGGATGCGTGGACCTCTTTGAAGATTTCTTTGGAAACGGGAATATTTCCACAGAAAAACTAAACTGAAGCATTCTCAGAAACTGCTTTGTGATGTTTGTGTTCGAGCCACAGAGTTTAACATTGCTTTTCATAGAGCAGTTTTGAAATATTCTTTTGGCAGAATCTGCAAGTGGACATTTGGAGCGCTTTCAGGCCTGTGGTGGAAAAGGCCTGAAAGCCTTTTCCTTTATCTTCACAGAAAGACGAGAGAGAAGCATTGTCAGAAACTTCTTTGTGATGATTGCATTCAACTCACAGAGTTGAAGATTCCTTTTGAAACAGCAGTTTCGAAACACTCTTTCTGTGGGATCCGCAAGGGGATATTTGGACCTCTTTGAAGGTTTCGTTGGAAACGGGATAATCTTCACCTAAAAGCTAAACGGAAGCATTCTCAGAAACTTCTTTGGGATGTTTGCATTCACCTCACAGAGTTGAACTTTCCCTTTGATAGCGCAGCTTTGACACACTTTTTCTACAATGTGCAAGTGGCTATTTAGCGGGCTTGGAGGACTGTGTTGGAAAAGGAAATATCTTCTCCTAAAAACGACATAGAAGCATTCTCAGAAACTGCTCTGTGATGATTGCATTCAACTCCCAGAGTTGAACATTCCTTTTGATAGAGCAGTTTGCAAACACTCTTTTTGTAGAATCTGCAAGTGGAGATTTGGACCGCTTTGAGGCCTGTGGTAGTGAAGGAAAGAACTTCATATAAAAACCAGACGGTAGCACTCTCAGAAAATTCTTTGTGACGATGGAGTTTAACTCAGGGAGCTGAACATTCGTTATGATGGAGCAGTTTCCAAACACACGTTTTGTAGAATCTGCAAGGGGATATTTGGACCTCTCTGAGGATTTCGTTGGAAACGGGATCAACTTCCCATAACTGAACGGAAGCAAACTCAGAACATTCTTTGTGATGTTTGTATTCAACTCACAGAGTTGAACCTTCCTTTGATAGTTCAGGTTTGCAACACCCTTGTAGTAGAATCTGCAAGTGTATATTTTGACCACTTTGTAGCCTTCATTTGAAACGTCTATATCTTCACATCAAACCTAGACAGAAGCATTCTCAGAAAGTTTTCTGCGATGACTGCATTCAACTCACAGAGTTGAACAATCCTTCTGATGGAGCAGTTTTGAAACCCTCTTTCTTTGGAATGTGCAAGGGGATATGTGGACCTCTTTGAAGATTTCACTGGAAACGGGATCATCTTCACATAAAAACTAAACAGAAGCATTCTCGGAAACTACTTTGTGATGTTTGTATTCAACTCCCAGAGTTGAACTTTCCTTTTGAAAGAGCAGCTATGAAACACTCTTTTTCGAGAATCTGCAAGTGGACGTTTGGAGGGCTTGGAGGCCTGTGGTGGAAAAGGAAATACCTTCACATAAAAACTAGATAGAAGCATTCTCAGAAACTACTTTGTGAGGATGGCATTCAACTCATGGAGTTGAACAATCCTATTGATAGAGCAGATTGGAATCACTCTTTTTGTAGAATCTGCAAATGGAGATTTGGACTGCTTTGAGGCCTACGGTCGTATAGGAAGGAACTTCAGATAAAAGGCAAACGGAAGCATTCTCAGAATATTCTTTGTGATGATGGAGTTTCACTCACAGAGCTGAACATGCCTGTTGATGGAGCAGTTTCCAAATACACTTTTGGTAGAATCTGCAGGTGGATATTTGGAGCTCTCTGAGGATTTCGTTGGAAACGGGAATAATTTCCCATAACTAAACACAAACACTCTGAGAAAGTTCTTCATGATGAATGCATTTAACTCGCAGAGATGAACCTGCCTTTGAGAGTTCAGGTTCGAAACACTCTTTCTGTATAATCTGCAAGTGGATATTTGGACCACTGGGTGGCCTTCGTTCGAAACGGGTATATGTTCACGTAAAAACTAAAGAGAAGCATTCTCAGAAACTTCTGAGTGATGATTGCATTCAAGTCACACAGTTGAACCCTCCTTTTGATGGAGCAGTTTTGAAACTGTCTTTTTGTAGAATCTGTAAGTGGATACGTGGACCTCTTTGAAGATTTCTTTGGAAACGGGAATATTTCCACAGAAAAACTAAACTGAAGCATTCTCAGAAACCGCTTTGTGATGTTTGTGTTCGAGCCACAGAGTTTAACATTGCTTTTCATAGAGCAGTTTTGAAATATTCTTTTCGCAGAATCTGCAAGTGGACATTTGGAGCGCTTTCAGGCCTGTGGTGGCAAAGGCCTGAAAGCCTTTTCCTTTATCTTCACAGAAAGACGAGAGAGAAGCATTGTCAGAAACTTCTTTGTGATGATTGCATTCAACTCACAGAGTTGAAGATTCCTTTTGAAACAGCAGTTTCGAAACACTCTTTCTGTGGGATCCGCAAGGGGATATTTGGACCTCTTTGAAGGTTTCGTTGGAAACGGGATAATCTTCACCTAAAAGCTAAACGGAAGCATTCTCAGAAACTTCTTTGGGATGTTTGCATTCACCTCACAGAGTTGAACTTTCCCTTTGATAGCGCAGCTTTGACACACTTTTTCTACAATGTGCAAGTGGCTATTTAGCGGGCTTGGAGGACTGTGTTGGAAAAGGAAATATCTTCTCCTAAAAACGACATAGAAGCATTCTCAGAAACTGCTCTGTGATGATTGCATTCAACTCCCAGAGTTGAACATTCCTTTTGATAGAGCAGTTTGCAAACACTCTTTTTGTAGAATCTGCAAGTGGAGATTTGGACCGCTTTGAGGCCTGTGGTAGTGAAGGAAAGAACTTCATATAAAAACCAGACGGTAGCACTCTCAGAAAATTCTTTGTGACGATGGAGTTTAACTCAGGGAGCTGAACATTCGTTATGATGGAGCAGTTTCCAAACACACGTTTTGTAGAATCTGCAAGGGGATATTTGGACCTCTCTGAGGATTTCGTTGGAAACGGGATCAACTTCCCATAACTGAACGGAAGCAAACTCAGAACATTCTTTGTGATGTTTGTATTCAACTCACAGAGTTGAACCTTCCTTTGATAGTTCAGGTTTGCAACACCCTTGTAGTAGAATCTGCAAGTGTATATTTTGATCACTTTGTAGCCTTCGTTTGAAACGTCTATATCTTCACATCAAACCTAGACAGAAGCATTCTCAGAAAGTTTTCTGCGATGACTGCATTCAACTCACAGAGTTGAACAATCCTTTTGATGGAGCAGTTTTGAAACCCTCTTTCTTTGGAATCTGCAAGGGGATATGTGGACCTCTTTGAAGATTTCACTGGAAACGGGATCATCTTCACATAAAAACTAAACAGAAGCATTCTTGGAAACTATTTTGTGATGTTTGTATTCAACTCCCAGAGTTGAACTTTCCTTTTGAAAGAGCAGCTATGAAACACTCTTTTTCGAGAATCTGCAAGTGGACGTTTGGAGGGCTTTGAGGCCTGTGGTGGAAAAGGAAATATCTTCACACAAAAACCAGATAGAAGCATTCTCAGAAACTACTTTGTGAGGATGGCATTCAACTCATGGAGTTGAACAATCCTATTGATAGAGCAGATTGGAATCACTCTTTTTGTAGAATCTGCAAATGGAGATTTGGACTGCTTTGAGGCCTACGGTAGTACAGGAAGGAAGTTCATATAAAAGGCAAACGGAAGCATTCTCAGAATATTCTTTGTGATGATGGAGTTTCACTCACAGAGCTGAACATGCCTTTTGATGGAGCAGTTTCCAAATACACTTTTGGTAGAATCTGCAGGTGGATATTTGGACCTCTCTGAGGATTTCGTTGGAAACGGCAATAATTTCCCATACCTAAACACAAACACTCTGAGAAAGTTCTTCATGATGAATGCATTGAACTCGCAGAGATGAACCTGCCTTTGAGAGTTCAGGTTCGAAACACTCTTTCTGTAGAATCTGCAAGTGGATATTTGGACCACTGGGTGGCCTTCGTTCGAAACGGGTATATGTTCACGTAAAAACTAAAGAGAAGCATTCTCAGAAACTTCTGAGTGATGATTGCATTCAAGTCACACGGTTGAACCCTCCTTTTGATTGAGCAGTTTTGAAACTGTCTTTTTGTAGAATCTGTAAGTGGATACGTGGACCTCTTTGAAGATTTCTTTCGAAACGGGAATATTTCCACAGAAAAACTAAACTGAAGCATTCTCAGAAACTGCTTTGTGATGTTTGTGTTCGAGCCGCAGAGTTTAACATTGCTTTTCATAGAGCAGTTTTGAAATATTCTTTTGGCAGAATCTGCAAGTGGACATTTGGAGCGCTTTCAGGCCTGTGGTGGAAAAGGCCTGAAAGCCTTTTCCTTTATCTTCACAGAAAGACGAGAGAGAAGCATTGTCAGAAACTTCTTTGTGATGATTGCATTCAACTCACAGAGTTGAAGATTCCTTTTGAAACAGCAGTTTCGAAACACTCTTTCTGTGGGATCCGCAAGGGGATATTTGGACCTCTTTGAAGATTTCGTTGGAAACGGGATAATCTTCACCTAAAAGCTAAACGGAAGCATTCTCAGAAACTTCTTTGGGATGTTTGCATTCACCTCACAGAGTTGAACTTTCCCTTTGATAGCGCAGCTTCGACACACTTTTTTTACAATGTGCAAGTGGATATTTAGCGGGCTTGGAGGACTGTGTTGGAAAAGGAAATATCTTCTCCTAAAAACGACATAGAAGCATTCTCAGAAACTGCTCTGTGATGATTGCATTCAACTCCCAGAGTTGAACATTCCTTTTGATAGAGCAGTTTGCAAACACTCTTTTTGTAGAATCTGCAAGTGGAGATTTGGACCGCTTTGAGGCCTGTGGTAGTGAAGGAAAGAACTTCATATAAAAACCAGACGGTAGCACTCTCAGAAAATTCTTTGTGACGATGGAGTTTAACTCAGGGAGCTGAACATTCGTTATGATGGAGCAGTTTCCAAACACACGTTTTGTAGAATCTGCAAGGGGATATTTGGACCTCTCTGAGGATTTCGTTGGAAACGGGATCAACTTCCCATAACTGAACGGAAGCAAACTCAGAACATTCTTTGTGATGTTTGTATTCAACTCACAGAGTTGAACCTTCCTTTGATAGTTCAGGTTTGCAACACCCTTGTAGTAGAATCTGCAAGTGTATATTTTGACCACTTTGTAGCCTTCGTTTGAAACGTCTATACCTTCACATCAAACCTAGACAGAAGCATTCTCAGAAAGTTTTCTGCGATGACTGCATTCAACTCACAGAGTTGAACAATCCTTCTGATGGAGCAGTTTTGAAACCCTCTTTCTTTGGAATCTGCAAGGGGATATGTGGACCTCTTTGAAGATTTCACTGGAAACGGGATCATCTTCACATAAAAACTAAACAGAAGCATTCTCGGAAACTACTTTGTGATGTTTGTATTCAACTCCCAGAGTTGAACTTTCCTTTTGAAAGAGCAGCTATGAAACACTCTTTTTCGAGAATCTGCAAGTGGACGTTTGGAGGGCTTTGAGGCCTGTGGTGGAAAAGGAAATATCTTCACATAAAAACTAGATAGAAGCATTCTCAGAAACGACTTTGTGAGGATGGCATTCAACTCATGGAGTTGAACAATCCTATTGATAGAGCAGATTGGAATCACTCTTTTTGTAGAATCTGCAAATGGAGATTTGGACTGCTTTGAGGCCTACGGTCGTATAGGAAGGAACTTCATATAAAAGGCAAACGGAAGCATTCTCAGAATATTCTTTGTGATGATGGAGTTTCACTCACAGAGCTGAACATGCCTTTTGATGGAGCAGTTTCCAAATACACTTTTGGTAGAATCTGCAGGTGGATATTTGGACCTCTCTGAGGATTTCGTTGGAAACGGGAATAATTTCCCATAACTAAACACAAACACTCTGAGAAAGTTCTTCATGATGAATGCATTTAACTCGCAGAGATGAACCTGCCTTTGAGAGTTCATGTTCGAAACACTCTTTCTGTAGAATCTGCAAGTGGATATTTGGACCACTGGCTGGCCTTCGTTCGAAACGGGTATATGTTCACGTAAAAACTAAAGAGAAGCATTCTCAGAAACTTCTGAGTGATGATTGCATTCAAGTCACACAGTTGAACCCTCCTTTTGATGGAGCAGTTTTGAAACTGTCTTTTTGTAGAATCTGTAAGTGGATACGTGGACCTCTTTGAAGATTTCTTTGGAAACGGGAATATTTCCACAGAAAAACTAAACTGAAGCATTCTCAGAAACCGCTTTGTGATGTTTGTGTTCGAGCCACAGAGTTTAACATTGCTTTTCATAGAGCAGTTTTTAAATATTCTTTTGGCAGAATCTGCAAGTGGACATTTGGAGCGCTTTCAGGCCTGTGGTGGAAAAGGCCTGAAAGCCTTTTCCTTTATCTTCACAGAAAGACGAGAGAGAAGCATTGTCAGAAACTTCTTTGTGATGATTGCATTCAACTCACAGAGTTGAAGATTCCTTTTGAAACAGCAGTTTCGAAACACTCTTTCTGTGGGATCCGCAAGGGGATATTTGGACCTCTTTGAAGGTTTCGTTGGAAACGGGATAATCTTCACCTAAAAGCTAAACGGAAGCATTCTCAGAAACTTCTTTGGGATGTTTGCATTCACCTCACAGAGTTGAACTTTCCCTTTGATAGCGCAGCTTTGACACACGTTTTCTACAATGTGCAAGTGGCTATTTAGCAGGCTTGGAGGACTGTGTTGGAAAAGGAAATATCTTCTCCTAAAAACGACATAGAAGCATTCTCAGAAACTGCTCTGTGATGATTGCATTCAACTCCCAGAGTTGAACATTCCTTTTGATAGAGCAGTTTGCAAACACTCTTTTTGTAGAATCTGCAAGTGGAGATTTGGACCGCTTTGAGGCCTGTGGTAGTGAAGGAAAGAGCTTCATATAAAAACCAGACGGTAGCACTCTCAGAAAATTCTTTGTGACGATGGAGTTTAACTCAGGGAGCTGAACATTCGTTATGATGGAGCAGTTTCCAAACACACGTTTTGTAGAATCTGCAAGGGGATATTTGGACCTCTCTGAGGATTTCGTTGGAAACGGGATCAACTTCCCATAACTGAACGGAAGCAAACTCAGAACATTCTTTGTGATGTTTGTATTCAATTCACAGAGTTGAACCTTCCTTTGATAGTTCAGGTTTGCAACACCCTTGTAGTAGAATCTGCAAGTGTATATTTTGACCACTTTGTAGCCTTCGTTTGAAACGTCTATATCTTCACATCAAACCTAGACAGAAGCATTCTCAGAAAGTTTTCTGCGATGACTGCATTCAACTCACAGAGTTGAACAATCCTTCTGATGGAGCAGTTTTGAAACCCTCTTTCTTTGGAATCTGCAAGGGGATATGTGGACCTCTTTGAAGATTTCACTGGAAACGGGATCATCTTCACATAAAAACTAAACAGAAAGCATTCTCGGAAACTACTTTGTGATGTTTGTATTCAACTCCCAGAGTTGAACTTTCCTTTTGAAAGAGCAGCTATGAAACACTCTTTTTCGAGAATCTGCAAGTGGACGTTTGGAGGGCTTTGAGGCCTGTGGTGGAAAAGGAAATATCTTCACATAAAAACTAGATAGAGCATTCTCAGAAACGACTTTGTGAGGATGGCATTCAACTCATGGAGTTGAACAGTCCTATTGATAGAGGAGATTGGAATCACTCTTTTTGTAGAATCTGCAAATGGAGATTTGGACTGCTTTGAGGCCTACGGTAGTATAGGAAGGAACTTCATATAAAAGGCAAACGGAAGCATTCTCAGAATATTTTGTGTGATGATGGAGTTTCACTCACAGAGCTGAACATGCCTTTTGATGGAGCACTTTCCAAATACACTTTTGGTAGAATCTGCAGGTGGATATTTGGAGCTCTCTGAGGATTTCGTTGGAAACGGGAATAATTTCCCATAACTAAACACAAACACGCTGAGAAAGTTCTTCATGATGAATGCATTTAACTCACAGAGATGAACCTGCCTTTGAGAGTTCAGATTCGAAACACTCTTTCTGTAGAATCTGCAAGTGGATATTTGGACCACTGGCTGGCCTTCGTTCGAAACGGGTATATGTTCACGTAAAAACTAAAGAGAAGCGTTCTCAGAAACTTCTGAGTGATGATTGCATTCAAGTCACACAGTTGAACCCTCCTTTTGATTGACCAGTTTTGAAACTGTCTTTTTGTAGAATCTGTAAGTGGATACGTGGACCTCTTTGAAGATTTCTTTGGAAACGGGAATATTTCCACAGAAAAACTAAACTGAAGCATTCTCAGAAACTGCTTTGTGATGTTTGTGTTCGAGCCGCAGAGTTTAACATTGCTTTTCATAGAGCAGTTTTGAAATATTCTTTTGGCAGAATCTGCAAGTGGACATTTGGAGCGCTTTCAGGCCTGTGGTGGAAAAGGCCTGAAAGCCTTTTCCTTTATCTTCACAGAAAGACGAGAGAGAAGCATTGTCAGAAACTTCTTTGTGATGATTGCATTCAACTCACAGAGTTGAAGATTCCTTTTGAAACAGCAGTTTCGAAACACTCTTTCTGTGGGATCCGCAAGGGGATATTTGGAACTCTTTGAAGATTTCGTTGGAAACGGGATAATCTTCACCTAAAAGCTAAACGGAAGCATTCTCAGAAACTTCTTTGGGATGTTTGCATTCACCTCACAGAGTTGAACTTTCCCTTTGATAGCGCAGCTTTGACACACTTTTTCTACAATGTGCAAGTGGCTATTTAGCGGGCTTGGAGGACTGTGTTGGAAAAGGAAATATCTTCTAAAAACGACATAGAAGCATTCTCAGAAACTGCTCTGTGATGATTGCATTCAACTCCCAGAGTTGAACATTCCCTTTTGATAGAGCAGTTTGCAAACACTCTTTTTGTAGAATCTGCAAGTGGAGATTTGGACCGCTTTGAGGCCTGTGGTAGTGAAGGAAAGAACTTCATATAAAAACCAGACGGTAGCACTCTCAGAAAATTCTTTGTGACGATGGAGTTTAACTCAGGGAGCTGAACATTCGTTATGATGGAGCAGTTTCCAAACACACGTTTTGTAGAATCTGCGAGGGGATATTTGGACCTCTCTGAGGATTTCGTTGGAAACGGGATCAACTTCCCATAACTGAACGGAAGCAAACTCAGAACATTCTTTGTGATGTTTGTATTCAACTCACAGAGTTGAACCTTCCTTTGATAGTTCAGGTTTGCAACACCCTTGTAGTAGAATCTGCAAGTGTATATTTTGACCACTTTGTAGCCTTCGTTTGAAACATGCTATATCTTCACATCAAACCTAGACAGAAGCATTCTCAGAAAGTTTTCTGCGATGACTGCATTCAACTCACAGAGTTGAACAATCCTTCTGATGGAGCAGTTTTGAAACCCTCTTTCTTTGGAATCTGCAAGGGGATATGTGGACCTCTTTGAAGATTTCACTGGAAACGGGATCATCTTCACATAAAAACTAAACAGAAGCATTCTCGGAAACTACTTTGTGATGTTTGTATTCAACTGCCAGAGGTGAACTTTCCTTTTGAAAGAGCAGCTATGAAACACTCTTTTTCGAGAATCTGCAAGTGGACGTTTGGAGGGCTTTGAGGCCTGTGGTGGAAAAGGAAATATCTTCACATAAAAACTAGATAGAAGCATTCTCAGAAACTACTTTGTGAGGATGGCATTCAACTCATGGAGTTGAACAATCCTATTGATAGAGCAGATTGGAATCACTCTTTTTGTAGAATCTGCAAATGGAGATTTGGACTGCTTTGAGGCCTACGGTCGTATAGGAAGGAACTTCATATAAAAGGCAAACGGAAGCATTCTCAGAATATTCTTTGTGATGATGGAGTTTCACTCACAGAGCTGAACATGCCTTTTGAGATGGGAGCAGTTTCCAAATACACTTTTGGTAGAATCTGCAGGTGGATATTTGGAGCTCTCTGAGGATTTCGTTGGAAACGGGAATAATTTCCCATAACTAAACACAAACACTCTGAGAAAGTTCTTCATGATGAATGCATTTAACTCGCAGAGATGAACCTGCCTTTGAGAGTTCAGGTTCGAAACACTCTTTCTGTAGAATCTGCAAGTGGATATTTGGACCACTGGCTGGCCTTCGTTCGAAACGGGTATATGTTCACGTAAAAACTAAAGAGAAGCATTCTCAGAAACTTCTGAGTGATGATTGCATTCAAGTCACACGGTTGAACCCTCCTTTTGATGGAGCAGTTTTGAAACTGTCTTTTTGTAGAATCTGTAAGTGGATACGTGGACCTCTTTGAAGATTTCTTTGGAAACGGGAATATTTCCACAGAAAAACTAAACTGAAGCATTCTCAGAAACTGCTTTGTGATGTTTGTGTTCGAGCCACAGAGTTTAACATTGCTTTTCATAGAGCAGTTTTGAAATATTCTTTTCGCAGAATCTGCAAGTGGACATTTGGAGCGCTTTCAGGCCTGTGGTGGCAAAGGCCTGAAAGCCTTTTCCTTTATCTTCACAGAAAGACGAGAGAGAAGCATTGTCAGAAACTTCTTTGTGATGATTGCATTCAACTCACAGAGTTGAAGATTCCTTTTGAAACAGCAGTTTCGAAACACTCTTTCTGTGGGATCCGCAAGGGGATATTTGGACCTCTTTGAAGGTTTCGTTGGAAACGGGATAATCTTCACCTAAAAGCTAAACGGAAGCATTCTCAGAAACTTCTTTGGGATGTTTGCATTCACCTCACAGAGTTGAACTTTCCCTTTGATAGCGCAGCTTTGACACACTTTTTCTACAATGTGCAAGTGGCTATTTAGCGGGCTTGGAGGACTGTGTTGGAAAAGGAAATATCTTCTAAAAACGACATAGAAGCATTCTCAGAAACTGCTCTGTGATGATTGCATTCAACTCCCAGAGTTGAACATTCCTTTTGATAGAGCAGTTTGCAAACACTCTTTTTGTAGAATCTGCAAGTGGAGATTTGGACCGCTTTGAGGCCTGTGGTAGTGAACGAAAGAACTTCATATAAAAACCAGACGGTAGCACTCTCAGAAAATTCTTTGTGACGATGGAGTTTAACTCAGGGAGCTGAACATTCGTTATGATGGAGCAGTTTCCAAACACACGTTTTGTAGAATCTGCAAGGGGATATTTGGACCTCTCTGAGGATTTCGTTGGAAACGGGATCAACTTCCCATAACTGAACGGAAGCAAACTCAGAACATTCTTTGTGATGTTTGTATTCAACTCACAGAGTTGAACCTTCCTTTGATAGTTCAGGTTTGCAACACCCTTGTAGTAGAATCTGCAAGTGTATATTTTGACCACTTTGTAGCCTTCGTTTGAAACATCTATATCTTCACATCAAACCTAGACAGAAGCATTCTCAGAAAGTTTTCTGCGATGACTGCATTCAACTCACAGAGTTGAACAATCCTTCTGATGGAGCAGTTTTGAAACCCTCTTTCTTTGGAATCTGCAAGGGGATATGTGGACCTCTTTGAAGATTTCACTGGAAACGGGATCATCTTCACATAAAAACTAAACAGAAGCATTCTCGGAAACTACTTTGTGATGTTTGTATTCAACTCCCAGAGTTGAACTTTCCTTTTGAAAGAGCAGCTATAAAACACTCTTTTTCGAGAATCTGCAAGTGGACGTTTGGAGGGCTTTGAGGCCTGTGGTGGAAAAGGAAATATCTTCACATAAAAACTAGATAGAAGCATTCTCAGAAACGACTTTGTGAGGATGGCATTCAACTCATGGAGTTGAACAATCCTATTGATAGAGCAGATTGGAATCACTCTTTTTGTAGAATCTGCAAATGGAGATTTGGACTGCTTTGAGGCCTACGGTCGTATAGGAAGGAACTTCATATAAAAGGCAAACGGAAGCATTCTCAGAATATTCTTTGTGATGATGGAGTTTCACTCACAGAGCTGAACATGCCTTTTGATGGAGCAGTTTCCAAATACACTTTTGGTAGAATCTGCAGGTGGATATTTGGACCACTCTGAGGATTTCGTTGGAAACGGGAATAATTTCCCATAACTAAACACAAACACTCTGAGAAAGTTCTTCATGATGAATGCATTTAACTCGCAGAGATGAACCTGCCTTTGAGAGTTCAGGTTCGAAACACTCTTTCTGTATAATCTGCAAGTGGATATTTGGACCACTGGGTGGCCTTCGTTCGAAACGGGTATATGTTCACGTAAAAACTAAAGAGAAGCATTCTCAGAAACTTCTGAGTGATGATTGCATTCAAGTCACACAGTTGAACCCTCCTTTTGATGGAGCAGTTTTGAAACTGTCTTTTTGTAGAATCTGTAAGTGGATACGTGGACCCCCTTTGAAGATTTCTTTGGAAACGGGAATATTTCCACAGAAAAACTAAACTGAAGCATTCTCAGAAACTGCTTTGTGATGTTTGTGTTCGAGCCACAGTAGTTTAACATTGCTTTTCATAGAGCAGTTTTGAAATATTCTTTTGGCAGAATCTGCAAGTGGACATTTGGAGCGCTTTCAGGCCTGTGGTGGAAAAGGCCTGAAAGCCTTTTCCTTTATCTTCACAGAAAGACGAGAGAGAAGCATTGTCAGAAACTTCTTTGTGATGATTGCATTCAACTCACAGAGTTGAAGATTCCTTTTGAAACAGCAGTTTCAAAACACTCTTTCTGTGGGATCCGCAAGGGGATATTTGGACCTCTTTGAAGATTTCGTTGGAAACGGGATAATCTTCACCTAAAAGCTAAACGGAAGCATTCTCAGAAACTTCTTTGGGATGTTTGCATTCACCTCACAGACTTGAACTTTCCCTTTGATAGCGCAGCTTCGACACACTTTTTCTACAATGTGCAAGTGGATATTTAGCGGGCTTGGAGGACTGTGTTGGAAAAGGAAATATCTTCTCCTAAAAACGACATAGAAGCATTCTCAGAAACTGCTCTGTGATGATTGCATTCAACTCCCAGAGTTGAACATTCCTTTTGATAGAGCAGTTTGCAAACACTCTTTTTGTAGAATCTGCAAGTGGAGATTTGGACCGCTTTGAGGCCTGTGGTAGTAAAGGAAAGAACTTCATATAAAAACTAGACGGTAGCACTTTCAGACAATTCTTTGTGACGATGGAGTTTAACTCAGAGAGCTGAACATTCGTTATGATGGAGCAGTTTCCAAACACACGTTTTGCAGAATCTGCAAGGGGATATTTGGACCTCTCTGAGGATTTCGTTGGAAACGGGATCAACTTCCCATAACTGAACGGAAGCAAACTCAGAACATTCTTTGTGATGTTTGTATTCAACTCACAGAGTTGAACCTTCCTTTGAGAGTTCAGGTTTGCAACACCCTTGTAGTAGAATCTGCAAGTGTATATTTTGACCACTTTGTAGCCTTCGTTTGAAACGTCTATATCTTCACATCAAACCTAGACAGAAGCATTCTCAGAAAGTTTTCTGCGATGACTGCATTCAACTCACAGAGTTGAAGAATCCTTTTGATGGAGCAGTTTTGAAACCCTCTTTCTTTGGAATCTGCAAGGGGATATGTGGACCTCTTTGAAGATTTCACTGGAAACGGGATCATCTTCACATAAAAACTAAACAGAAGCATTCTCGGAAACTATTTTGTGATGTTTGTATTCAACTCCCAGAGTTGAACTTTCCTTTTGAAAGAGCAGCTATGAAACACTCTTTTTCGAGAATCTGCAAGTGGTCGTTTGGAGGGCTTTGAGGCCTGTGGTGGAAAAGGAAATATCTTCACACAAAAACCAGATAGAAGCATTCTCAGAAACTACTTTGTGAGGATGGCATTCAACTCATGGAGTTGAACAATCCTATTGATAGAGCAGATTGGAATCACTCTTTTTGTAGAATCTGCAAATGGAGATTTGGACTGCTTTGAGGCCTACGGTCGTATAGGAAGGAACTTCATATAAAAGGCAAACGGAAGCATTCTCAGAATATTCTTTGTGATGATGGAGTTTCACTCACAGAGCTGAACATGCCTTTTGATGGAGCAGTTTCCAAATACACTTTTGGTAGAATCTGCAGGTGGATATTTGGAGCTCTCTGAGGATTTCGTTGGAAACGGGAATAATTTCCCATAACTAAACACAAACACTCTGAGAAAGTTCTTCATGATGAATGCATTTAACTCGCAGAGATGAACCTGCCTTTGAGAGTTCAGGTTCGAAACACTCTTTCTGTAGAATCTGCAAGTGGATATTTGGACCACTGGCTGGCCTTCGTTCGAAACGGGTATATGTTCACTTAAAAACTAAAGAGAAGCATTCTCAGAAACTTGTGAGTGATGATTGCATTCAAGTCACACAGTTGAACCCTCCTTTTGATGGAGCAGTTTTGAAACTGTCTTTTTGTAGAATCTGTAAGTGGATACGTGGACCTCTTTGAAGATTTCTTTGGAAACGGGAATATTTCCACAGAAAAACTAAACTGAAGCATTCTCAGAAACCGCTTTTTGATGTTTGTGTTCGAGCCACAGAGTTTAACATTGCTTTTCATAGAGCAGTTTTGAAATATTCTTTTCGCAGAATCTGCAAGTGGACATTTGGAGCGCTTTCAGGCCTGTGGTGGAAAAGGCCTGAAAGCCTTTTCCTTTATCTTCACAGAAAGACGAGAGAGAAGCATTGTCAGAAACTTCTTTGTGATGATTGCATTCAACTCACAGAGTTGAAGATTCCTTTTGAAACAGCAGTTTCGAAACACTCTTTCTGTGGGATCCGCAAGGGGATATTTGGACCTCTTTGAAGGTTTCGTTGGAAACGGGATAATCTTCACCTAAAAGCTAAACGGAAGCATTCTCAGAAACTTCTTTGGGATGTTTGCATTCACCTCACAGAGTTGAACTTTCCCTTTGATAGCGCAGCTTTGACACACTTTTTCTACAATGTGCAAGTGGCTATTTAGCGGGCTTGGAGGACTGTGTTGGAAAAGGAAATATCTTCTCCTAAAAACGACATAGAAGCATTCTCAGAAACTGCTCTGTGATGATTGCATTCAACTCCCAGAGTTGAACATTCCTTTTGATAGAGCAGTTTGCAAACACTCTTTTTGTAGAATCTGCAAGTGGAGATTTGGACCGCTTTGAGGCCTGTGGTAGTGAAGGAAAGAGCTTCATATAAAAACCAGACGGTAGCACTCTCAGAAAATTCTTTGTGACGATGGAGTTTAACTCAGGGAGCTGAACATTCGTTATGATGGAGCAGTTTCCAAACACACGTTTTGTAGAATCTGCAAGGGGATATTTGGACCTCTCTGAGGATTTCGTTGGAAACGGGATCAACTTCCCATAACTGAACGGAAGCAAACTCAGAACATTCTTTGTGATGTTTGTATTCAACTCACAGAGTTGAACCTTCCTTTGATAGTTCAGGTTTGCAACACCCTTGTAGTAGAATCTGCAAGTGTATATTTTGACCACTTTGTAGCCTTCGTTTGAAACGTCTATATCTTCACATCAAACCTAGACAGAAGCATTCTCAGAAAGTTTTCTGCGATGACTGCATTCAACTCACAGAGTTGAACAATCCTTCTGATGGAGCAGTTTTGAAACCCTCTTTCTTTGGAATCTGCAAGGGGATATGTGGACCTGTTTGAAGATTTCACTGGAAACGGGATCATCTTCACATAAAAACTAAACAGAAGCATTCTCGGAAACTACTTTGTGATGTTTGTATTCAACTCCCAGAGTTGAACTTTCCTTTTGAAAGAGCAGCTATAAAACACTCTTTTTCGAGAATCTGCAAGTGGACGTTTGGAGGGCTTTGAGGCCTGTGGTGGAAAAGGAAATATCTTCACACAAAAACCAGATAGAAGCATTCTCAGAAACTACTTTGTGAGGATGGCATTCAACTCATGGAGTTGAACAATCCTATTGATAGAGCAGATTGGAATCACTCTTTTTATAGAATCTGCAAATGGAGATTTGGACTGCTTTGAGGCCTACGGTAGTACAGGAAGGAACTTCATATAAAAGGCAAACGGAAGCATTCTCAGAATATTCATTGTGATGATGGAGTTTCACTCACAGAGCTGAACATGCCTTTTGATGGAGCAGTTTCCAAATACACTTTTGGTAGAATCTGCAGGTGGATATTTGGAGCTCTCTGAGGATTTCGTTGGAAACGGGAATAATTTCCCATAACTAAACACAAACACGCTGAGAAAGTTCTTCATGATGAATGCATTTAACTCGCAGAGATGAACCTGCCTTTGAGAGTTCAGGTTCGAAACACACTTTCTGTATAATCTGCAAGTGGATATTTGGACCACTGGGTGGCCTTCGTTCGAAACGGGTATATGTTCACGTAAAAACTAAAGAGAAGCATTCTCAGAAACTTCTGAGTGATGATTGCATTCAAGTCACACAGTTGAACCCTCCTTTTGATGGAGCAGTTTTGAAACTGTCTTTTTGTAGAATCTGTAAGTGGATACGTGGACCTCTTTGAAGATTTCTTTGGAAACGGGAATATTTCCACAGAAAAACTAAACTGAAGCATTCTCAGAAACCGCTTTGTGATGTTTGTGTTCGAGCCACAGAGTTTAACATTGCTTTTCATAGAGCAGTTTTGAAATATTCTTTTCGCAGAATCTGCAAGTGGACATTTGGAGCGCTTTCAGGCCTGTGGTGGCAAAGGCCTGAAAGCCTTTTCCTTTATCTTCACAGAAAGACGAGAGAGAAGCATTGTCAGAAACTTCTTTGTGATGATTGCATTCAACTCACAGAGTTGAAGATTCCTTTTGAAACAGCAGTTTCGAAACACTCTTTCTGTGGGATCCGCAAGGGGATATTTGGACCTCTTTGAAGGTTTCGTTGGAAACGGGATAATCTTCACCTAAAAGCTAAACGGAAGCATTCTCAGAAACTTCTTTGGGATGTTTGCATTCACCTCACAGAGTTGAACTTTCCCTTTGATAGCGCAGCTTTGACACACTTTTTCTACAATGTGCAAGTGGCTATTTAGCGGGCTTGGGGGACTGTGTTGGAAAAGGAAATATCTTCTCCTAAAAACGACATAGAAGCATTCTCAGAAACTGCTCTGTGATGATTGCATTCAACTCCCAGAGTTGAACATTCCTTTTGATAGAGCAGTTTGCAAACACTCTTTTTGTAGAATCTGCAAGTGGAGATTTGGACCGCTTTGAGGCCTGTGGTAGTGAAGGAAAGAACTTCATATAAAAACCAGACGGTAGCACTCTCAGAAAATTCTTTGTGACGATGGAGTTTAACTCAGAGAGCTGAACATTCGTTATGATGGAGCAGTTTCCAAACACACGTTTTGTAGAATCTGCAAGGGGATATTTGGACCTCTCTGAGGATTTCATTGGAAACGGGATCAACTTCCCATAACTGAACGGA